>NC_000010.11:56203701-56355216 GCF_000001405.40 Homo sapiens | reverse complement strand
ATTAGTATTTCCCAAAGGCCTTTTTTCTACTTTATATGTCTTTCAAAAACACAGGTATTGGCATTATTTTCTTTAATGTTGCTTTTAATACATTCTTTTAATTATTTTTTGTCTTTATTCCCTTCTGCTCTAATTTTTAATATTTGTAGGATTTTTAAAAATTAATATTTGATAATACATATGTTCTTTTTTATAGTCCAACAAACGCATTTACATATTTACATTTTTATTTGACCACCACTCTGAGAATAATTCATATATTTTAATACATAGGCTATTGATTATTTCTAAATAGATTATAATTTTAGTATTGATTTTATTTTAAATCAAGGAGGTTTCCTTTGTTGCCCTTGCCTCTCAAATGTATTTGTAATAGTGTTTAGTTCCTCAATGGATTTAAGATAATTTTGTTATTTTTAATGCACCAAATTTTGTAATCTTACTGTTACTTCTTTTATTCCATTTGCTTCAAATGGTATCACACCTCTGAATATTGTTCCTTAAAATTTATTAGTTACATATAGGCTTATGTATATGTGTAGTCATTATATATGTTCTTATAGGGAAGAGATTTTATCATTTTTGTTCATCACTAAACCCACAAGTTCAAGAAAAATACTGATAGAGGGTAGATCCACAAACATTGGTGGAAATGTAAATGGTTGCCAAAAATGAAAAAGGAACACAATGCATACAGGAGGTATTCCAAATTTTTAAGTGTGTCTTGGAAGTTTGTATGAGATTTCACAGAGGTAACACCCCAAAAAAATTTTACTTCTATATTATGACTTCTTTTGCATCTACTTTTTCCAAAATGTTATTTTTTTCTAACAGAGTTCTAAACATTGAAAATCATTTAACACATTGCATTCAGTATTTCTGATCATTTTTATCTAACCAGTTGCTAGGATCAGTTTCTAAAAAACAGCATGAGAGAGAAAACTTGTTCAAAGTACCCTCCTAAAATTATTAAGGTCTTCTAAATTTATGTGACTTATTCTATCAGGTAAATATTCTTATTATCCCAGATAGTGTTGGCAAAGCTAATACTGCACATTCTGTCTGTACAGTTTCGAAATTTATAAAACTAAGGTTTCATTTCTAATACTCTCCCCTGCCATAACAAGATGGGCATTTTCCGCTGCTCTTTAACTCTTATAGTGCTAAACTTGTACTTTTTGCAGCAGTGGTGATCAGTGAGGGTTTTGAATATCTCTAAAAATAAATGGCTTTCTTCCCTGTGCTACCAGTACATCATACAATACTAGGCGTATATATTTTATTGAAGTATTGTTTTTATGAGCTTGTTTTTCCAAAAGGGAATAAAATATCTACAAAGCGTTAGTGATAACATCTGAGAAGTTTCTGCTAACTCTGAAAATGCCGTAACTATTTACACACAATGTTAATTTTCTCCTATTTTAGAGCCTGAGGTTAATACACCTCATTCTTGTCTTACAGAATTTCTATAACTTGAATGTTTATGTCTCTTCTTTGAGCCTCTTTCTCTCTTTTATGTATAAGTTCTGAGATATGAATAGAATGTGAAATTAAATAATTTTATTTCATTATGATTCCCAGTCCAGTTTTTCAATGACCCTTTTTATAGATAGAACATTGGGCTCTGAGGAACTTCCTGTTTGGGTTTGTAATTCATTAATTAACAAACATGCCCCACTGATAAAATTTGCTCTTGAAACCCTGACTATCCTAGATTGTTTTGAGGCCAATTTAAAACTGTCATAAATTCGTTATGTCCTCAAATTTATAACTTAACAAAATTATGAAAAAGCAAAAAACCTTAATCTTCATAGACCTCTGTAATATACAGAGACTGGATTTTGGATGCCATGTTTGTATGCATTTCTAAATTTTAAATTGTCAGACGGACTTTAGGAAACACACTACCCAAGGTGTGTATAATTCATTTCATCATGCATTATGTAGTAATTATACCCAAATGTAGAAGTTGATTGTTTAAGTGGGTAGATTACTATATGCCTAAAATCATGTTTTATGATTGATAAAACCAGAGGAAATTCAGGATCATGCTTTCAGAAAGTGATAGGACTATTAGAAAGATAAGGTTATCACTAAAATGTTTAAAATAAACCATAAAAAATATAATTTAGTGCAAACATATTTGTTCTGTTTGTATGTACTATAAAAAATAACATGAAGTGAAATAATTTGTTTTCTGGAAAAATGAATTATTGTTTAAAATATTCTGTAGATTCTCCAGGTTATCCAATATATGAAATTTTATTGTAAAACCGGGTCTAATCTTAATAACCAAACAGTAAATGTCGATTTTATTAGTCTAGTTAAAAAGCAGTGATATTAAATATTCATCCTTATCATATAACTAATCATTGAACAATAATTCATTTTTTATATAGGCATTTGAGGAAAATTACTTCTCTTTGGGGATAGAAGTGTATCCACAGTCTCCATTTGTATGAGGGTTGGATAAAAGTAATTTGAAATAATTTATTTACTGAAATATAGCATTATCTCTGGTGGTTTCATTCTGTTACTTCATAAAGATAATAGACTGTGAGGGAAGATACATGGATTTCTAGCTTGAAAATTCTAATGTTAATAATCACAAAGTGTAACTTTGTTTCAGTATGTTTTCAACAGGGAAATAAGAGGAAAAGGAAAGAAATGATAAATTCACTAGAGAAATTCAATCGTAAAAATATAGAGCATGTCTGTGTATGTGGTAATGTTACAGGCGGGTCTTTGTTCTTCAAGCTCCCAAGATGGTGGCAGGCCGCTCCCAAGATGGTGGCGGGGTGCTTTTTGTTCTCTGACCTGGGGTTCTTGGCCTCACGGATTCCAAGGAATGGAACCTTGGGGCATGTGGTGAGTGTTATAACTCTATTAGAAGCCGTGGGTCACGGAAGAGAACCGTGGAACCCAGCAACTAGTATTCAGGTTGATTAGGACGAACCCGGGCATTTAGCTGTGTAGGAACAATGGCGAGCCTTTAGCCCGATAGGGAGCCGCAATGGATGCCTCGCTGGATCAGGAGGGCAGCGGACACCCTGCCGTATCCAGAGGAGTATAAGTTAGCGGCAGGTCTGTGACAGTGGCATTCAGCAGTGGTGGAACAGTGTGCGAAAGCTCAGCTCCAGCCAGAACAAACACGGACCAGAAGAGGGTGCAGTTGCAAGATTTAATAGAGTGAAAACAGAGCTCCTATACAATGAGAGGGGACCCCAAGGGGGCTGCCCACTCCCAGCTCGAATGCCTGGGGTTTATATCCCAATCATTGTTCCTCCCCCTGTGCTCTCAGGTGATAGATGATTTGATTATTTCTTTATCTCCTGTTTTTAGCCTAATTGGTATTTCAGTGAGCTCTCTTTACTACCTGATTGGTTGGGTGTGAGCTGAGTTACAAGCCCCGTATTTAAAGGGCGGTGCGGTCACCTTCCCCAGCTAGGCTTAAGAATTCTTAGTCCGCCTAGGAAATCCAGCTAGTCCTGTCTCTCAGTATGTCTTTATACATATATACATACATAACATAGCCAGGGAGAATGGAAATAAGATGGAAAAAGTGACTACTTGAAGGATATTATGGTATTTTTCAGATTCAGACCCTGCCATTAACCACTTGCTCTCCTAATTCCTACACACAGGGACATAACATCTTTGCATCCACAAATGAACATACACCAGTACCTTCAACATTAAATATACTTATTTACGAAATGCTCATTGTATAGTATTAGGGAATATTTTACAAAAAGCTGCCCCTTAAGCTTAGCTTCAAATAGATGAAATTATCCAGAGGCAGATTTCATCAAACATTTATTGAATGTCAGCTCTGTGCTGAACATAAGTTCTAAGAATCTTTTAAAAAGAAAAAACTCGGGAGGGCGCGGTGGCTTACGCCTGTAATCCCAGCACTTTGGGAGGCCGAGGCGGGCAGATCACGAGGTCAGGAGATCGAGACCACAGTGAAACCCCGTCTCTACTAAAAATACAAAAAATTAGCCAGGGGAGGTGGCGGATGCCTGTAGTCCCAGCTACTCGAGAGGCTGAGGCAGGAGAATGGTGTGAACCCGGGAGGCAGAGCTTGCAGTGAGCCGAGATCACGCCACTGCACTCCAGCCTGGGCGACAGAGTAAGACTCCATCTCACGAAAACAAACAAACAAAAAAAAACAAAGAAAAAACTCAATAGTCCTACCTTCTTTGAGTTTAAATTTGGAGTCAGGAAAGAAAAAAAATTATGAAAAATAATTCTATTAAAACAATGTTTATTATATTATTTTCAAAGACTAAGAAGCAGGATGTTTTGACAGCACCAAGGATAATCTGTAATACTAAGCAGGGGAAACATAAGTGAAATAAAGGAAGTGAGAGACTGATAGAATCAGGAATGCAAGTGGCCAAGCAGTTTGGAGCAGAGGATAGAAAGGAGGAAATGGGAATAGTGAGTTCACAAGGGCTTTTTATCTTTACCCTGATGGCTATAGGGATTCAAAGTCTTCACCCTGAAGCCATGGAAACCTGTTGAAGTTTTCCTTCCTACTTTGTCAAATAATCTTCAGGTGCAATTTAGTATATTGAAATAGAGCTATCAAAGAAGTCACACCATCGATGAGCACATTTATGAGTTCTGGGCAGAATTCACATTTAGAAAGCAGTGCAAATGCTTCCATCCTCTCGAAGTAAACACATTTCCCTGAGTAACCATTGCTTATTATTGGGACTTGCTATAATGACAGCAGCTAAAGAGCTGAAATCCATTTAGGCAATTAGATACACTAAAGCAACATTGGAGTGGCACCAGAATGGAGCTTCTATTTCTAAATGCTTAAATGCCTCTACTTAAAAATAAGTCACTACTTAAAAATACAATTACCATAATTATGAATAGCTGTACATTCTAGCCACCAAAATAATTCCCAAAGTAGTTAAATGGCACTAGTATTCCTGGATGGTCACAGTTAGCAATCAAAATAAAAACACACCTACTGGAAAGTGATGAACCACCCATCCCACAGCTCAGTGTTTTTCGGTATATTAATCACTAAAGACTCATGACTTCCTAAGAACATTGGGAAGCATTTTCAGCAATGCAGAATCACTTGTGCCTGAGTAACAGCTTCCTTATCAACGTTTCAGAGACCAAGAATTTAAAATATGGAGAAAAAAAACTCATCCATAGTGAATTTGTATTAAATGTTTGTATTAATAAAGAATAATACAAAATATTTGTATTAAAGAATAGTAATCTATTTCACATTAATTAGCAAAATCATACTTTTTCAACAAGACTCTTAATAACATGAATTTTAACAATTATGTTCAACAGTATTCA
Organism: Homo sapiens; assembly: GCF_000001405.40. Classification (NCBI taxonomy): domain Eukaryota; kingdom Metazoa; phylum Chordata; class Mammalia; order Primates; family Hominidae; genus Homo; species Homo sapiens. The sequence goes on along the minus strand of NC_000010.11, from coordinate 56,349,882 downwards.
GAGATTCTTGGAATTTAAAGAGAAAAAGTGCTGTACATCAGGTGCCTATGTCATCCTTGGCACTAGCAGCAGGGTGCGCTAATTCTTTTGAGGAAGTAATAAAAATTGTATTTGATTTATAAAAAGTTTCATTGGTATAAGAAGAGGTTTTCTATTTTACCCACTTCACTCCTGTGTCTACCCTCATCTCAAGAATTTTCAGGAACTAACTAGCTAAATCTAACTCTTGGTGTGGTGGCAGCTGTGGTGGTGTTGATATGAAAGAGTAGAAGTAGTAAAAGAAATGTTATCACAACAAAAAGGAAGGGCTAATAAAAATTCAGATAATTCTAACAATCATCATTACGTACTGTATATATTTGTATAGGACAGACTGAAACCATGGGGTTCCATGCCCCTCCAGGCATACCTTTTGTTTTATATTTAAATAATGAAATGATTTGGGCCTTTGCATTGCATTTTATGTATCTCTAGAAAACTTAGTTTCCAATAAGAAAGGTATTAAGAAAAACATCTTTATTAAAGTACTTTACGATAAAATAATACTTTCTGTTAAAAATATTAATTTTTATCTTGTAAACGTAGTATAAAGCTGATGACCTGGTTTGGTTTATCTAGCTAGGCATCTTGAAGTGTCAAATGCATTAAAAATATATATGCATTTACACATATTCTAAACTGTTGTCAGGCATCCTTCTCTTCATAATTTAATTTATTTTGCTTTTTTTTAAGGAGTCATTTATTTCAATTATAAAGACACCTGGAAGCTACAGGAAACTCATCTAACTTAGTTGCAGTTCTGATTGCTATCAGCCGTTTGCTATTTTTTTACCTGAGTTTCCTGTTTATTTGTAAAGAATCTAAATGACAGCCTTGTTCATTTTTAAATTTTGTATTAGGAGCAGCATTCACATTTCGTGCTGTCTTTGAATTCAAGAGATGTTTGTCTCTTGGGTGTTTGTCTTAGTTGAATAATATTAAAGTTTTGTGAGGAGAACAGTGTCCTTGTTTTATTTGATCTCAGTTGAAGTCTATATAACATTTGTTATGTGGTTATATGAAATTATATGAAGGTCACTGTAATAATCGAAATGTGTTATCTTGGAAGATAGTACCACTGAGCTTTTAGTTCTTAAAATTTGATGTGCAATAGAGCCACTTGGAAGTGGTTTTTTAAACGCAGGTTTCAGTCATCTCTAGGAGATTGCAATTCTCAATTCCTGGTTTAGATTTTCAAAAGTTAACAAATACCTCAGGTGATTCTGATGTAGTGGATTTAGGGACCATTTTCTGAGAAACTTTATACTATTTCTCATTAAGGCTTTAGCATATTAACAAGTCACAAGATGATACTTAAAATTATGCAACAACAGACATGTACGTTCTGAAGAGGACTGGACATCTAGAAAGGAGTTTAAAGTACTGTTATACTAGGAAGAACCGGGTGTAATATAGTGATGGGAGCACTGTGTTCTGGCCTAACTCTGAAGTCAAAAAAGATGTGCACCCTGAGGCAGAAAGATGATGCCGAAAAGATAGTAATGGTAGAATGAAAACAAACTTCTGCTTTAGAGTGTTTTGGCAAAGTAATATTTTTATTAAACTCATACATGCTCACGCTCACACACACAGGCCTGAAAAGCAGATAATGTTAGATAAAGTGAGTATAAAATCTTGTTTTGTTCTCACAAGAAATAAACTCAGAAAATAGAAATCCTTATCTATGAAGAGATAAATTGCCCAATTTACTGGCTGTTCACCAAACACAAAGCTCAGTGACAGTCCCTATCCTCCTTTGGGATTAGATGAAGCCATATGACTGGATTATAGCTAAAAGAGTGTGGGAAGAAATGATATATACCACTTTCAAGTACAGCTCGTGAAATCCTCCCACACCCCGTCTTCCATTCTTTTTCTGTCTACTGACTAAATGGACAGGACACTGAGGAGCATGAGGAAGGTAGAGTCACAAAATGGAGAGAGCCTGGATCCTTGTCACTTGGAAGAAAATGGTTTAAGTAAGGATAACTGTGTTGGATTACTCTGAGCGAGGCGTGGGAAACAAAAAAAAACAACATTATGATTATATGAAGTCACTGAAATATTGAGGTTGTGATATCAGAGAGTTTAAACGTTCTGAACACTATCCTGATTTCCCTAAGCCAATATTTCAGGAAAATCTCTTCAACTATTGTTGATAATAATTAAACATGTGTTGGGCTAGGAAAAGCTACTCTTTGAAAGATCTTTATCTTCAGTATAAAAAAAAATTGTAGGCACACAAAATTTTAAACTGAAATTTCCACTTTAAGAGGGATTTTTGTCAAAGGAAGGGATGGTAGTTGTATTAAATTCTCCATTTCCCACATCAAAGATGCAAAAGTGTGTTACCATATAGTGCTTTACTCACTATTCCTTCAATCTCAAATATTCTGTGCTTAAACCCCAAGACATATCTGATTTGAGAAATTGATTGCTGAGCTATTTATGGTTTAAAATATATGGTATGTCAAAATATTCTTATGTTCTTAGGAAGACTAAACAGTTTGAATCATTTTGAAGGATACCCAATGTTTATAAACTCTCTTAACATGAGTCTTACCATGACTAATGAATTCTTTGATCCCTGACCAGATAAAAGTTTTGTTTGGTAGGTTTATAATATGCTCAGCTTCAACCAGTATGTAAATCAGTGAAACTTCTAATTGTCACTGTGAGTTTAGAATATTTTGTTCTTGTAGTTTCTTTGGGAAATGTGTTTACTCAGTTGCTGCATTTTTCCTGCTATGAGTCATTTAATTATACACATTTATATCAGCATTTGTGCCACCCCTTTTTTCCTCTCATATCACTTGCATGACTATCTCTTACCTGTTTGTCAGTTTCCTGCACCTTGAAGAACCTATGAGAAGGTGAGTGAACCACCATCATAAATGGTTCTAAAATTTGTTTAAAAAAAAACTTGTAGTATTTTGATTCAATGTTGTTGTTTTGGGTCCTCCTCTTGAAGCTTTCATGTATGAAATGTAAAGTTTATATTAAAGACTCTACAGTGATTTACTTTTACCTGCTTTCAAATTTCAAATTTCTGTATAGGATGGTGAGGTTTAGGGATGGTTTTCCTTATTTTTTTCCCTAAACTCATTGTTCTTGAATACTCTGTTTACCTATAGACAATATTTTCTAATATTATCTTTTAGAAAAATTGAACAAAGGAATCTCAAACAAGTGTTATTTTTATATTAAAAGTATGATAAATAATAAAAGTGAAAATGTTGATTTTCAATAGTATGATGTTTCAGTGTAATCTGAATATTTCAAGATAATTGAGTTGCCATAGCAATAACTGTTAGCAGTGCATTGCAAAAAAACCTTTTGATAAGAAATGTTTTGATTGTATCTCTTCCTAATTGATACTGTACATATCCATTATTTTCCTTAGTTGTTTTTATAACAATTTAATGGGATAGATATGTATCAGCAATCAGAAGATGTTTTATAGATAGGGAAACTATCACAACTTTATAATGTTTATCTTAAAAATACAAAATAAATTTTATCACTTTGACAAATCCTTAAAAAAAATGTATTTATCAATTGTCTTCAGCATATCTCAGGACAGAGTGTCAAGATTTCCACTGCACCTGAGCATACAATCTGTTTAGCACTCACCAAATTTTATTGTAAGTATTATTTACATTTCTAATTTAGTGATAAAACTTTGTCTTCTTTTTCTATTTATTATTACTGCCAAATACAGCAGCTATTGCATAATAGGTATCCAAAAGTTATTTCTTTGCAATGTATGATGATGTTTGTTCTTCTTATACTTTTTAACCTATATGTCAGTGGCATGGACTGAATTCATCAGGCACTCTGTCAGGTTACATTCAAAACTGGAAATGTATAAGGATAGATGGATGGGGCTTTCGCAGTGATCTCCAAATGAGTAAGGGTGTCTCATTCCCAACAACGGTGTGACATTCTAAAAGATATAGATGCATTTTTTATTGCAGAAATATATTTGGTATATATTTATATATTTGAACAAAATATTACCAAAACTTACATTTTAACTATTTTTAAGTGCACAGTTCAGTGGCATTATGTGCATTCACATTGTTATAGAGCAATCATCACCATCCAGCCCCAGAACTATGATCATCTTCACAAATTGAAACTTCATACACATTAAACTTAGCACGTCATTCCTTTCTCCTCTAGGCACTGGCAACTACCATCCAATTTCTAGGAATTTGACTGTTCTAGGTATCTTATAAAAGTAGAATCATACAATGCTTGGTTTTTTGTGCCTACATTATTTCATTTAGCATTATGTCCTCAAGGTTCATCCATGTTGTAGCATGTCACAGAATTTCCTTATTTTTTAAGGTTAAAAATAATACATTGTGTGTATATATCATATTTTGTTTAGCCTTTCATCCACCTTTTGGTGCTGCTGTGCCTATGGTATACAAATATCTGTGTGAGTCCCTGCTTTGAATTATTTTGAGTATATGCTCCAAAGTGAAATTGCTGGATCATATGGAAATTCTAAATTTAATACTATTGTCTACAGTGGAGGTACCATTTTAGATTCCCACCAGAAGTGTACAAGAATTGCAATAAATCCACATTCTCATTAACACTTGTTATTTTTTGTTATTTTGATAATAATAAGCCTAATGGGTGTGAAGTGATACCTCGTTGTGGTTTCGATTTGCATTTCCTTTTCCATAAGTGATGTTCATTTCTTGAAAAAAATATCTGTTCAAGTCCTTTGCTCATATTTTCATTGAGTTTGTTTTTGTTTTTCAGTTGTAGGATTTCTATATATATTCTGAATATTAATATTTTATTAAACATGACAGTAAATACTTTCTCCCCTTCTGTGGGTTATCTATTGACTTCATTAATTACATCATTAATAAACAAAATTTTTAAATTTTGAAGAAGCTTAATATGTCTACATTTTTCTTTTGTTGCCTTACTTTTAGTGTAATACCGAATAAACTCTTTGCAAAATCAAATGCAATAAAGTTTCCCTCTATGTATTCTTCCAAAAGTATCCTGTTTTATTTCTTAAATTTAGGTCTTTGATCCATTTTTGAGTTAATTTTTGCATATGGCATAAGGTAAGAGTTAATTATTTTGCATGTAAATATTCACTTCTCCTAGTACCATCTGTTGAAAAGACAAATCCTTTCCTCATTGAATGGTTTTAATGCTCTTGTCTAAAATAATTTGGCCATATATGCAAAGGTTTTTTGTTTTTCTCCCCCTGTGGTCTGTATTTTTCTTTTCATTGATTAAGATGTCTGCCTTTAATAGCACGCTCTTCTGATTGTAGCTTCTTTTCTTTTCTTTTCTTTTTTTTTTTTTTTTTTTTTTTTGGCGATGAGGTCTTACTCTGTCACCCAGGCTGGAATGCAGTTGCAAGATCTTGGCTCACTCCAACCTGAACATCCTGGGCTCAAGCAGTCCTCTTGCCTCAGTCTCCCAAGTAGCTAGACTACTGGCACATGCACATGCATCCACACTCAGCTATTTTTAAAATTATTTTATAGAGACAAGATCTCACTATGTTGCCCAGGCTGGTCATGAACTCTTAGCCTCAAGTAATCCTCCACCTTTTTTAATGTCTGTAACTCCCAGAGGGCTGGGGTTACAGACATTAGCCAATATACTTGACCCTGATTACTGTAACTTTGTAGTAATTTTTAAAATAAGGAAGTATGAGTCCTTTGATTTTTTTTCTTCTTTTTCAAGACTATTTTGTCTATTTGGGGTACACTGAGATTTCATACAAATTTTAGGATGAATTTGTATGTTTTTATTTTATGTAATGCAATTGTCATTTTGGTAGGGATTGCATTGAATATGTAGATTACTTAGGATAGTGTTGACATCCTAAAAATATTATTTTCTAGTCCGTAAACATGGGATGTCTTTCCACTTGTATCTTTAATTTCTTTTGGCAGGTTTTTGTAGTTTTCAATGTACCAGTCTTTTGCCTTTTTGGTTAAGCTTATTCCTAAGTATTTTATTCTTTTTGATGCCATTGTAAATTGAATTCTTTTCTTAATTTCCTTTTTAAATTATGCATTGTTAGTGTATAGAAATAACACTGTTTTGGGAGTTTGATTTTTGTATCCTGCAACTTTGCTGAATCCATTTTGTTAGTTCTAATTTTTTTCCCTTGTGGAATTTCTTGGGTTTTCTACATATGAGATCATGCCACCTGGGATCAAAGATAATTATCTTTCTTCTTTTTCAATTTGAAAGGGTTGTATTTATTTTTCTTGCCTAATTGCTCTGGCTAGGTCTTTCAATATTTTATTTAATAGAAGCAGTGGCATCCTTGCCTTGTCTGTGATGTTAGAGGAAAAGCTATTCGTCTTTCAGCACTGAGGATGATGTTAACTAAATGCTTTTGATATATGGCCTTTATTGTGTGAGGTAGTCTTCTTCAATTTTTAGTTTGTTGAGTGTTTTTGTCATGAAAGTGTATTGTACTGAATTCTGTCAATAGATAAGAAATAATTCTGTCTTTCTTCATCAATTGAGATAACCATGTGGGTTTCTTTCATTCTGTTAATGTGGTGTTTCATTGATTGATTTTATTTGTTGACCTGTCCTGTACCCTAGGAGTAAATTTCATTAAATAATTGTGAATAATCCTCTTAATATGCTCTTGAATTTGATTTGCTAGTATTTTGTTGAGGATTTTTGTATCAATATTCATAAGGAATATTGGTCTGTAATTTTGTATTTTGTTTCTTTTAATGTCTTTGTCTGCCTTTGATATCATGGTATTGCTAGCCTCATAAAGTAAGTTAGAGAGTGTTCCCACATCTTTAATTTTTTTTGGTGGAGTTTGAGAATGGTTGTTGTTAATTCTTTAAATGTTTGGTAAAATTCACTAGTGAAGCCATCTGATCCTGGGATGTTTTTTGTTGGGAAATTTTGCTTATTGATTCAATTAACCTACTAGTTATATATCTATTCAGGTTTTCTAGGTTTTTTTAATTCAGTCTTACAGGTTGTTTGTGTTATAATGTTTAAGTGAGGGAGGTAAGGGCCCAGACTTTCTTAGTCAAACATCTTGTTAACATCACTCTCTCTTGAATTACTTTTACCTTTGTGTTATTAACACAACTGCTACCTCTTTGTGTTCTCTAATTAGCTTTCTTCAGGTAAATTCATTCACTTGTGTTCCCTTTCCTTAGCATCCTGTGACCACATTCTATTACATTGTGTGATTAACCAGAGCTACTCAATTGTAGAAGTGTGTCTCAAGACCCAGTACTCTGCTTAGCTGCATCACAGGAAGAAAGTTGTCATCCAAGAAAACATCCATTAGCAAGTAAGCATTCAGTAGAGTTATATAGTCCTATTATACTCTACTTCTTTATACTGTCTTTTTTATTTTCTTTTTGTCTTACAAAGTCAGTAGTTTTAAAAATAATCTATACTTTCATTTTTTAATAAATAAGTTAATAGGTGTTTCAAACCTACTACATGGTGCTGTCCCATGTAATCTGGTGAGTACAAACAGCATTTTATACATTTTTCCATGAATGGTGCATAACATGACCTGTCAAAAGCCATGTGTACGACTTGAAAAATAATATTTGAATGTTAACATTGAGGGTAGTCTTGGCTTATGTCTTCCTTAAACACTTTCCCTGGCTGCCACCACTAGGAACAAAAATCAAACACATGCACACACACACACACACAAACACACACACATATTCTCATCAAGTGCCTTTTGTTTACCACTACATTTTTCTTCTGTTAAAATCTAAGGTTTATATGTTTTTCTTACAATCGAGGACCCCTAAGGATGCAAAGGAAATTTTGAAATATAAATGCCTTGAGAGCTATCCTATATAAATTCATGACAGTAGAACACAACAGTTTGTACAGTAAGAGCTGACATTACTTGTTTTCCAGCCAAGGGATCTCTTCCATGTTTTCAACTTTGAGTGAGTATGTATGATTGCACCATTAAAATTAATGATTAATATATGCACAACTCTTTCCATGAATAAAGTCAGCATTTTATACTGAAGTCAGCACATTTTAGGGCAGAGAGTGGCAAATTGGCTTTTGAGAAACATGGGCTTATAGATAACCAACACTAATATATTTGGGACTCAGTCGAAACTATAAAATGAGAGTGTTGAAATAAATTATTTCTAAAGGCCCTTATATATCTAACTCTTTATGATTCTATAATCAGAAAGTTATTAAATTTTGAATCTAGGTATCATAGTATAAACAGAACAAGAAATAACTTAGAAGCATATCCACCTGAAACATTTTGAATTAGGTTACCAGAAATCCTCTACAGAAATAGCAAAGGATGCATGAGGATAAATTATTAGAACTTAAGACAACAGAATTAGACTCTTAAACAAATGTGTATACCCAAGTCTTTCAGAAAATGGTATAGGTTGTCTGCAAACTTTACCCTGAAGGTAAAATAGATCACATCTCTGGGCGTTTTCCTGGAGGGAATTGCTGGCAGGAAGGATCTTTGGAGTGTAACATTACAAGATACAGCTCAAATATCCTTTGATTCAGTCCTAGAAGAACATGGTACAAGTTTTTAATAAAAAGAGATATGAGAACCTTAAAGAAAAAACCCACCTTTGCTAAAATGTAATAAAACAGGGAAGGAAAAGAGCAGTGAAGAGCAACTTCAACCTCAACAGGGAAGGAGTGTCTTCCCTATTTCAGTGATCATGACATGAGAAGTAAAGAATAAAATATACCTGAAATGATTTCAAAAAGCAAACAAAATTCTATAAATACTCAGTTTACTTAAGATAAAAAGATAATACTATTGACTAATGACCTAAAAACTTTCTTTTTGTTAATATCCTCTCTTACTGGCTTATAATTTACACATAACTGAAAATCATTATTGTTTATAAATGTCTAATGCGCATTGCTATTTATATAACATTTCCATATGCTATTCAAAGATACAATGCCATTATCTTTCATTTCTTCAAAAATTTCTCTATTTCACATTTTCATACATATGCTAATTTATGTTACTTTCTCTGCTCATGAGTGTTAATAATAATGGAGAAAAAACAGAGCTGAAGAATAATGAAAACATTGAAGAGTCTATTTAAATTTGAATAAAATAATTCAAAAATAGATGAAAGTTTATGAATTTTGTAAAATGTATTTTACATAAGATTACAAATGTGAATTAAAAACTAGGAATTTTTCGCCAGCATTCTCAGTCTTCAATCCAGGATGTAACTTCACATTTTTTTCTACATAATATAAGAGATGAATTCATTGAAAAATCAATGATTAGTTTGTTTTGAGACATACAAGATATAGAGATGTAATTTTATGACATAAAAAAACGAAGGGGTGGGGACAGAACTGTCAAGGAACAGAGGTTTTTTTGTTTTGTTTTGTTTTGTTTTGTTGAGACAGAATTTTTTGCCTAGTTGCCCAGGCTAGAGTGCAATGGCGCAATCTTGGCTCACTGCAACCTCCACCTCCCTGGTTCAAGTGAGATTTTCCTGCCTCAGCCTCCCAAGTAGCTGGGATTATAGACATGTGCCACCACACCCAACTAATTTTTTGTATTTTTAGTAGAGACAGGGTTTTTCCATGTTGGTCAGGCTGGTCTTGAACTCCTGACCTCAGGTGATCTGCCCGCCTTGACTTCCCAAAGTGCTGGGATAACAGGCGTGAAACACTGTGCTCGGCCACAGTTTTTTTAATGTCATTGAAGTTAAGCTACTATAAATTCAAATTAGAGTGTTATAACTTTAGGATGTTAAATTTAATTCATATGGTAAATAAAATACTTACAGACTATACAAAAAAGGAAAGGAGAAGCAAACAAAAGCATTTGGGACAAAAATCAACTAATGGAAAAAAGAACTGTAATGCAGGAAACGAGGGACAAAAATTATGTCATGTAGAAAACAAATAGCAAGATGACACGAGTAAGTTTCTATTATTAGTAATTGCTATACGTGTAAATGGACTTAACTTTCCAGTCTAAAATAGAGATTGACAGAATTGATTAAAAAAAAACAAAAAATCATGATCCAACTTTATGTTGTCTACAAAAGACCTCCTTTTGATTCAAAGACACAAGTAAGTTTAAAGTCAAGTGATGGGAAAATATATTCCATGTAAGTAGTAACTAAAAGTGTAGGGTGCCTATATTAATATCAGAAAAATTAGTCTTTCAATCAAAACAGTATACAAGAGAAAAAGGACATTATATATTATTAAGTACAGCAAGAATAATACAGCAAGATGATATAATAATTATAAACATTTATGCACCTAATAGCAGATTATGAAAATATATGAAACAAAAACAGACAAAACTGAAAACAGTAGATGGTTTTACAATAATAGTTGGGGACTTCAATATCCTGCTTTCAGTAGTGGATAGAACAACCAGACAGAAGATAAGTAAGGAAATCCTGTACTGAAACAGCATAATAAATAAACTAGATCTAGTAGACATATACAGAGTCCTGTACCCAACAGCCACAGAATACGTATTCTTCTTGATTGCACATGGAACATTTTACAGGATAGACAATAAATTGGCCTACAAATTAAATCTCAATAGATTTTCAAAGATATTTATATCATACAAAGTTACCTCTCTGAGCACAACAAGGTGAAGTTAGAAATCAGAGACAGAAAGCAAACTAGAAAATTCACAAATAATGTGGAAATGAAAGCACACTCTTAACCAATGAGTCAAAGAATAAATCAAAAGGGAAGTCAGAAAATACTTAGAGACAAAGGGAAATTAAAACACAACATAAAAAAACAAGGGATGAAGCAAAAGCAGTGCTAAGGAATAAATTTAGAGCTATAAATGCTTACTGTAAAAAACAAGAAAGATTATAAATCAACAACCTAACTTTAAAACTTAGGAAACTAGAAAAAGAAGAACAAACTAAAATCAAATGCTAGCAGGAGGAAGGAAATAAAAATTAGAGAAGTTATAAACAAAATGGAGACTAATGAAAAAATGGAGAAAATTAATAAGGTAAAGTGGGTTATTTGAAGTCACTATATAAAAAAGACACCTGCATGCATATGTTTATAGTAACACAGTTCACAATTGCAAATATATGGAGTCCCCTTAAGTGCTGAACCGATGAGTGGATGAAAGAAATGTGATATGTATATATACACCATGGAATACTACTTAGCCACAGAAATTAACAAAATAATATATTTTGCAGCAACTTGGAAGGAACCAGAGGCCATTATTCTAAGTGAAGTAACTCAGAAATTGAAAACCAAATATCACATGTTCTCACTTATAAGTGGGAGCTAAGCTATGGTAATGCAAAGGCATACAGAGTGATATAATGGACACTGGAGACTCAGAATGGGGGTAGATAGCAGTCGGTAAGAGATGAAAAACTGTCTTTTGTGTACAAGGTACACTACCCGGGTGATGGGTGCACTAAAATCCTGGACTTCACCACTATACAATTCATTCATGTAATTGAAAACCACTTGTACACCTAACGCTATTGAAATTAAACATTTTTTAAAGTGGATTATTTGATTTTTTTTTTCTTTTTAAACAGAATCTCAACCAGGCTGGTGTGCGATGGTATGATCATGGCTCACTGCAGCCTTGACCTCCTGAGCTCAAGTCATCCTACCTTCTCAGCCCCCTAAGTGGTAGAAATACAGACCACATGCCACCATTTCTTGCTAATTTTATTCTATTTTTTGTAGAGATGGGATCTCATGTTGCCCAGGCTGATCTCAAACTCTTAGTCTCAAGTGATCCTTCCACCTCGGCCTCCCAAAGTGCTGGGATATCAAACATGAGCCACTGCATCTGGCCTTAGTTGTTTGGAAAGTAAGCAAAACTGACAAAACTTTAGCTAAATTGACAGGAAAAAAAAGACTGAAATTAGAAAAATCAGAATTTAAAGTGAGAACATTATTTTCAATTCTACAGTAACCAAAAAATCATAACATAGTTCAATGAACAACTATACACCAATAAATTGGATACCCTAGATGAAGTGGAAAAATTTCTAAAAACACTAAACTGAATCATGAAATACAGAAAATCTGAATATATCTGTAATTATGTCAGTAATCAAAAATCTCCCAACAAAGATAATTATTGGAGGTGATGGCTTCAGTGATTAATTCTAGCAAACATTTAAAAGTAAAATAACACTAATCCTTCTCAAACTCTTCCAAAAAATTATAGATCTGGGAATACTTTCTAACTCAATCTCTGAGGCCAGCATTGCTCTGATATTAAACCCAGACACCAAGACACTTTAAGAAAGCAGAACAACAGACCAATGTCCCTTATCAACATTAATACAGAATTTCTAAACAAAACATTAACAAACTGAATTCAGCAGTGTATTAAAAGAATTATATACCATAACTAACTGGAAATTATTTTTGGAATGCAAGGATGGTTCAACATATTAAAATCAATGCAATAAATTCCATTAGCAGAATGAGGGGAAAAAATAATACCAGCATGATCATGTTTAGTGATGGAGAAAAAGCATTGAACATAATCCAACACTCTTTCTTGATAAAATTACTCAACAAACAAGGACTATAAGAAAATTATCTCAACATAATGCAGGCCATATATAAAAACCCATAGTGAACATTATATTTAATGTTGAATGACTGAAAGTTGCTCCTCTAAGATCAGGAATAAGGCAAGGAATCCTGCTCTTAATAGGTCTACTCAACAAAGAATTAAAAGACCTAGCCAGAGCAATTAGGCAAGAAAAAAATAAATGTCATCCAAATTTGAAAGTAAAATGTTAAATTATCTCTGTTTGCAGCTTGTATGATGTGATATGTACAAAGCCCTGAAGATTGTAGAAAATTATTTAGAGCTTATAAACAAAATTGCAATATAGCAGAATACAAAATAAACACAAAATTAGTTGCATTTATACACACCAACACTGAAAAATCTAAAAAGAAAATTAAGAAAAAATTGTAATTTACAATAGCATAAGATTAAAATACTTCAGAATTGGCTTAACAAAGGAAGTAAAATAATCATAAAATAAAAACTACAAAATATTGCTGAAACAAATGAAAGAAGACATCAATATATGGGAAATCATTCCATGTTCATGAATCGGAAAAGCTAATATTTTTAAGATGTCAGTATTATCAGAACTAATCTACATACTCAATTCAATCCTTTTCAAAATGACAAAGCCTTTCTTTTTACAGAAATAGAAAAATCTATCCTAAAATTTGTATGAAATCTCAATGGACTTCAAATAGAAAAAGGAGCCTTGAAAAAGAAAAAAGTCAAAGGACTCACACTTCCTTTGTTAAAAAATTACCACAAAGCTACAGTAATCAAAAGAGTGTGGTACTGGCATAGAGACAGATGTCTTAACCAATAGAAGAGACTAGAGACTATGGAAAAATAAAACATTGTATATATGTTTAATAATTTCCAACAAGTGTGTCAAGACCATTCAATGACGGAAAAGACAATCTTTTTAAAAAATATTACTAGGATAACTAGATATCTATATGCAATAGAATGAAGCTGGACCTTTACCTTGCATCATATACAAAAATTAACTCAAAATAAATCAAAGTCCTACATGCTAAAGCTACGACTATAAAACTCTTAGAAGAAAACATAAGGAAAAAGCTTCATGACTTGAGATTTGACAACTTTTTTTTTCAGAAGAAAAGGACAGCAAAAGCAAAGACAACAAAAGAAAAACATAAACAAGTTGAAATTTATTTTAAAAATCAATCTTAACAACCATCCATACACAAAATTACCTTCAGAAGAGCTAAGGAAACCAGGTAAGAGATCACAGAAACTGCTTGTAACACAACAATAAGAAAACATTATTTTGATTGAGGTTACATAGAAAAAACACTTTTACATTATTTACATCACCCATCTCTCAACCTCAGGTGGCACTGTGTGGAGAGAGATACCATTCCTTTGGAAGCAAATAGAAAAGTGAGCACAGGACTTTGCCTTGGACACAAACATCAGGTCCATCACAGTAAAACCTAGAAATGAGTAGACTTCTAGAACCCAGGCTCCAGGCTAGTACCCATAGACTGAGCCTCTAGGACTGCCCTGGCACCAGGCTTCAAGGCTGCACCACTGTCAACTGACTTCAGAATCCCTATGCTCTAGACAGCACTCAGTGGCAAATGGGACTCAGTGGACCCTGGGCTTCTTGTGTGCCCCAGTGCCAAGTTGGTCAGAGCAGGTCCTGGGCTTTAGATCTGTGCCACATGGTCTGCCTAGAATCTCTGGAAGGGCTAAGTGTTGAAGGGTTTTCTGAGACAAAACCAATCTGTGAAGATGAGAGTAAATACATACTCCTTCAAATGTGGAGACATTGATTCATGACCACAAGGATCAAGAACAATCAGGGAAACATAAAATCACCAAAGGAACAAAATAAAGTACCAATGACTGACTGTAAAGAAATTCAGATATATGGTATATCTGACAAAAAATTTAAAAAACGTACTTTAAGGGAGCTCAGAGAACTTCAAGAAGAAAAAAGATTCAATGAAATGAGGAAAACAACAAGTAACTAGAATAAGAAATTTAACGGAGAGATTGAAAAAAATAAAAATAGATAAAATAGAAATCCTGGAGCTGAAAGATGCAATGAATAAAAAGAAAAATAAAATAGAAAACATCAAGAGCAAAATTGGTTAAGCAGAAGAGTCTGTGAACTCACAGATAAGTTATTTGAAAATATACAGCCATAGAAGAAAGAAAAAAGAGTGAAAAGTAATGAAGAAATTACAAGATTTATGGGAAAACATCAAAAGAGAATTATTTTTAGTCATAGGAGTTTGAAACAGAAGAGAAATATAACAGAGTAGAAATCTTATTTGAAGAAACAGAAGCAGGAAACTTTCCAAACCTGGAGGAAGATGAAAGTATCCATGCAGATAAAAGTTAAAGGTCTCCAATCAGATTTAATCTGAATAAGACAATTTCAAGACATAGTATATAAAAGTGTCAAAAATCAAAGACAAATAGGGGACTCTGAAAGCAGCAATAGAAAAGAAGCAAATAGCAAAAAGAATTTCCAATATAGCTAGTAGCAAGATTCTCAGCAAAAACCTTACAGTCCAGGAAAGCATAGTGTGATGTACTCAAAGTTTTGAAGAGGAAAACAACTGACAACCAAAAGCCCAAAAGTACTATTTAGAACAAAACCGTCCTTCAGAAATGAATGAGAAATAATGACTTTCCCAGACAAAGAAAAGCTGAGGACTTTGTCACCACCAGACCTGTCTTACAAGAAATGCTAAGGAGAGTTCTTCAAGATGAAAGAAAAGGATACTAATGAGTAACATTAAATCATCTGCTAGTATAAAATTACTGATAAAAGTAAGCACATAGATTCAGAATAATATAATACTATAATGGTGGTTTGTAAAACACATGTCTTTAGTATAAAAGGGCATACAATAACATTGTTTTCTCTTTGCATTATTCACATTTATGCTGCTAGATGAGTTTCAGAACCTTATTACTTTAACTATCTCCATGGTCCTACTTCTGTACAATTGAAGCTCAAATTTGATTGTCATATTTATCAGTCTTGCCTTCCAGTCTACTCAGACTACCTACCATATACACTGTAATAATCACTGACCATAACACTACTTTTATTATTGTCTATGACAAGAGAAAGCACTGATTGATATGCCTCCTGATATGGTTTGGCTGTGTCCCCAACCAAATCTCACCTGGAATTGTAAAAATCCCCACTTGTCAAGGGCAGGGCCAGCTGGAGATAATTGAATCATGAGGAGTGGGGGCAGTTTCCCTCATACTGTTCTCCTGGTAGTGGGTAAGTCTCATGTGATCTAATGGTTTTATAAATGGGAGTTCCCCTGCACAAGTTCTCTTGCCTGCTGGCATGTAAGATATGACATTGCTCCTCTTTTTGCCTTCTGCCATGATTATAAGGCCTCACCAGCCATGTGGAACTGTGTGTCAATTAAACCTTTTTCCTTTATAAATTACCCAGTCTTTGGTATGTCTTTGTTAGCAGTGTGAGAACAGAGTAATACACCTCCAAACTCTATTTAAATTATAGAATGTGCAAATTAGCCACCTCTTGTATGTAATAAGATTTTTTAACTTTTAAAGTGCATGAAGCTCATAAAGTGTATAAAAGAACAGCAGTATCCTCAGGGCTCATAGAAAATTGTACTCTGGGTTACCACTCCAGACCTTCTGAATCAGAGCATTTGGGGTTAAAGGCCATGAATCTGTGTTTTAGTAAGTTCTCCAGATGATAGTTATGTAAAATAAAATGTGTAAACCAGCAGCTTATTTTTTTCTGTAGCAAAATAACATGAGACTTTTCTGGATTATTTCAAGTAGTAAAGAAAAAATTCGCAGGTAGTTTATAGTATTGAATTACTTGTATAGATGAATAATTAATTTTTAATAGAACAGATTGAAAATAATTGTGAAAATTGAATAGCACATGTACGTAACACATAACACATAACACTCTATAACTCATTATTTTCACCATGATGGTATTTTATTTTAAGATAACCATTTTTATATTTTAATATATTTTAAATCAGTACAATTCTTATAACCAATGCAACTGGAACATTTATATATTGATTTAATTGATAGCTGTTTTCTTTCCAGAATATCTTAAATAGAATACTGTATCTTTGCATAAGCATGCAAAACATCATTCCTTTTTTTTATACTTCTGCCTCTGCTGTGTATGGAATATAGTAAAACATTGTTTTTATTGGTCTTAGTTCTGTCTTGAACTTACTGTGATACCTTAAACAAGTAACTGAAATTATGCAAGCTTCAGGCTCTTTCATAAACTAAGTAGTCAAAACTACACTTTCTTCATCTATAAATTAGGGAGACCAATTGTCTCTCTAACTCTAACGTTCTATAATTTTATGAAACACTATTTGAAACAAAACCAATTTATGGTGATGGATCAAGGAATTATGGGTTGGAGGACTGAGTGGGGTAAGAATCTCCTGAAGAAACAGTTTTGGACAATAAGTAACTGCATGGCCTAGACAGATAGAATAAAATGAAAGGGAAAGCCATTATAGATCTAAGAAAAATATCTAGGCTCTATTCCTTCTAGCAACAATGGAAATAATTTGGTAATTGTGTCAGCTTTCAGAAAAGAATTTGCCAAGGAGAAAATAATTTCTATGCAGCCTATGAGTTACCCAAAAGAGAAAACCTCGATAACCAAGGAGTTAGAAAGGATGCTTCTGTAAGGATAAATGTCAGAGAGTTGTGGCTACTTCCAGATTTCAGAGTCTGCTGAAGTGTCACAGATAAACTGGGATAATTAATATGGAGGGCAAGTACATCTACAATTTCTATATATATTTCTTGGAAATAAGGATTAAAGCAACAATGCTGTGTTTAATTATATTTCTTAATATGCTTTAGAGCAAAATTTGCTTACTCCATATAAGCAAATAATATATATATATATATATATATATATATCAGAGTTAGGAACAAGATAAATTTGTGCCAAAAAAATTGAGTGGGATGCCAACAGTTTTTTCTACAGCCTATTGCTTGCATTCTTCAAATCCATCTGTATCTCACATTATGTTTCTTATGTCTTTTCACTGACTTTGCAAGATCACAGCCAGTCACAGTTTTAAATACATATTTACATCAAGGGAGTTTGTGGTATAAAATATAGTGAGCACTGCATTTTTTTCCCGATTACTTAAAAGAAGTTTTATTTTGAAATAATAATTGTAAATATACATGCAATTTCAAGAAATAATACAGAGATCCCATATACTCTTCATCCCACAAGTTTTCCCAACTGCAATTAACTTTATGTCTATAATTAGTAATCATTTTCTCCCTTTAAACCACAAAGTTTAGATTTCCCTCAACCTCTGTCAACATATCTGGTGATTTAGATTTCTGGCTTAGCAGGATAAAATAGGTATTTAACCCTGAGGTATTTTAACACCAAATTACTCTGTTCTTTTCAGCTCCTTTGTATAGCTATACTTTACTGGTTCTTTACTTTCAACACTTTCTACTCTGGCTGTAGGAAGAGGAAATAAAGTTATTTTAAAATGTTACCAAATAGACCTTTTGTCTTGCAAAACATGCACTGAGTTAAAAGGCTGGCCTAAGCCTCTTAATTTTTTCTTTTAGGACTACTTTGATTGATTTATATTTACCTTTGGCCTGAAATCCTGTAAGCGCTAGAGATACTGTTAAAGCTAATGCAGGCTCTTCCACCATACTGGCTATGGTCTGAATGCTTAGTCCCTCCAAATTTATGTTAAAACTTAATCCCCAATGCAAAAGTATTAAGTGGTAGGGCCTGTATAAGATGATTAGGTCATGAGGGTGCTGCCCTCATGAATGGGATTAGTACCTTACAGAAGGCTCAAGGGAGCCTGTTTGGCACTGTTGCCCTTCTACTATGTGAAGGCACAACAACAAAGTCCTATCGTGAAGTGGAGAGCAAGCCCTCACCAAATGCCAAATCTGCTAGCACCTTGATGTTGGATTTCTAAGCCTCCCTAATTCTGAGAAATAAATTTCTATTATTTATAAATTACCCAGTTTAAGATAATTTATCATAGCAGCACAGACATCCTAAAACAGAAAATAGTTCTGAGTAGTGGGGTGCTGCTATGACACATGTCTGGAAATGTGGAAGTTGCTTTGGAACTGGGTAATGGGCAGAGGATGGAAAAGCTTGGAGATGCATGCTAGATAAAGCCTATATTACCATGAATGAAGTGTTAAGAATTATTCTGGTGAAGAAGACTCAGAAAAGGAGAGCTATAGAGACAACTTCAATCTTCTTAGAGATTACCTAAGTGTTTGTAAAAAGAATGTTTGTAGAAATATGGATGGTAAAGGCCATTCAGATGAAGCCTCAGATCAGAATAAGGAATGTTACTGGAAACAGGAGGAAAGATCATTCTTGCTGTAAAGCAATGAAGAACTTTGAAGAATTGTGTTTATGTCCTAGTGTTTCATGGAAAGAATAACTTCCGGGTCATAAAATAAAATATTTGGCAGAAATGTCTATGCAAAGTCTTGAGGGTGTGGCTTGACTTCTCTTAACTGCTTATAGTAAACGTGAGAAGAGAGAATGAGTAAAGGCAGAATATATAATTAAAACGGAAGTAGAATTTAAAGATTAGGAAAATTCTCAGCCTGGCTATGTAATATGGAATGGAAAATCATGTTCAGGCGAGAACACCAAGGATGTGGCTAAGCAATCATTTGATAAGGGGATGAATATGGATAGGCAGAATCCAAGTGCTATTCTTCAATATAATGCAAAAATGACTCCCAAGGCATTTTGGAGATTATCAGTGCTGCCCCTTCTATCACAGGCCCAGAATGCCAAGATCTGGGGGACAGAACTATGTCAAAAGAGGAGCCTTGGGTGCTAGAGGGACCACGGTACTACTGTCCAGTGCTGCCTCAAGTCTCCGCTCCCCATATTCTGGTGCAGCACTCCTTTGCTGCCCCAGCCCCAGGTGTGACTCAGATGGACCCAGGCACTTTGATCTTGAAATTCCCAGCCTCCAGAAATGTGAGGAATAAATGTCTATTATTTATAAATTATTATTATGTTTACGGTTATAAATGTCTATTATTTATAAATCATATTACTATTATAAATAACAGTAATATAAATATTTATAAATTATGTTTATATTTAATTATTTAATTTATTAATGGTTATTTATAAATTACCCAGCCTAAGATATTTTATTATAGCAGCACAAATGACCACCCTAAGACAATACTTTATCCCAGTTTAATGTAAATGTATCTTAGAAATTTATTTTTACAACATATGATGGGTTAATACTAGGTGACTTATCATTGTCCAGGCAATGATCATTCTGTTAGCATGTTGTTGAAAGATGCCATATCCCCCACCTAAAACTCTGATTTTTAGGGCCACATGTGACACAAACTGTCTTAGTTTAGGTACCAACAAAGGAGACACTGATACATGAATTTGAGTTTCAGTAGTTTATTTTGGAGGCAATCTCGAATAACACTAAAAAATTGAGGAGTTTGGACAGGGTTTAAAAAAACACATGACCATGCCACTTCCATGGATAACTGATTCTAAAACCCTTTTGAGACTCAGTGGAAACAGTGTATAACAGAATTCTTCTACCTGAAGCATAAGGAAACTGGATCATCTTTGGTTGCTTTCAAGGGCATCATCATTTTAGCAACTTGAAACTGCTTTGCACATGTGCCAAGAAAACTTCCTTGGGCTGAAAGAGCCATTGCTCATCATAGAACTGCAGGTCCTTGCATTAGGAAATAATTGATATGTATAGACAAGGTATGAGTACATATGGGCATATGGTTATTTTTAGTACTATCACACCACTCTTTAGACAAATCAATAAAAACTCACTGGGATGAAAAGTCATTTATTTTAAATAAAACTGACAAGGAGGTTATACTTTATTTTACATCCTAATGCATTCCAGTGCATTAACCAGCGCTATACTTTTGAGGTAGATTGAGATTTCTAGCATCACAAAAGTAAACAATAATGCTGAATTCACCAAGAACAAGTAGCTGAGTATAGATTTTCACCAAAATTTGTTTGAAACCAATGGCTAGAGTACCTCAGATGCGACCCAGGCTATTGTTCATTATGTGGTATTAAATTATGCAATTATCAGTCTCTTTTGTGAAAACTCTAAACTTCACAAATAACTAGGTAAAATAATTACTTTCTGTTCAGTGTTCAGTTTCATAGATGGAAAACCTTCAGACATTTAATCTCAGCAGATGACTGGCAATATAAGGAAATGGATCCTGGTTAAAAAAAAAAAAAAGATTTAGTCTCTACAACTCAGAGTTTAGTCCACTTTTCCTCTTAAGTTGCAGATTTTCCTAGGGGAAAAAAACCTACAAGAAATACTGAAGGCAAGTGAATATGAAAGGATATGTGTATTTGCAATCAACTTTCTAAGTGATAGACAAAATACTCTTATTTGAACAATTTTCCCTCATGTGTTTTCTAATTTGAGGAGCTAAATACCTAGGGATTTTCTCCTTATAAAATAATAACATCATTATCATCATCACCATCATCTCAGAAAAATGCTTAATTAAGTGATGACAAGCACTAAAGAGATCGTTTGGCCCATATGTAATTGAGTCTGCAGCTTAAGAACCAGACTTTTACCTTACTTGAATTTCATATATATTTGTTTCACATTTTAAAATTTGGTTGTGGTATTTCTTAACTTCATCCCTACTTAAGAAATATGTTTATAGTGTTTATAGTTTGGGCCAGTGATTCATATCACCAAGTTACTTTTGTTTCGATTTACTTAAATACATTAAAGATGCCAACAATAAATTCATTTACTCTTAGAGCAAAGTCAATGCTTAATGTTTTGTTCCATGTTTTGTTCTTACCACTTGGAATACAATGATGAAACTAAATCCAGTGAATTATGAGACTGAGCAATCAGAAAATAGGGAATATAATGTCATACAAATCTATGAAGAAAAAAAAAAGGTAAAGGTAAAAGAAGAAAATAAAAGGACTTTTATATTAGATAGCTGGTTAGCACTGATTAGGTGACATCTGAGCATAGGCAAAAAGAGATATGGCAGGCAGAAAGCCAAGGGAATAGAGTCTTGGAAGGAGAAAGTATTAATGCAATGCCTTGAGACAGAAGAGTGCTTCATGTCTTTGTGGGATAGTTAGAATAGCATAATGGTTAGAGCAGAAAGTGTAAGGAAGAGGGAAAGAAGAAACGAAGTCTGAAAGGAAGTTCAGGTCCAGATCATATAGTAGCTTTACAGTCTATGATGAGAAATTTGGATATTATTCTGAATGAGTTAGGAAGCTGGGAAGGATTTTAAACAAGAGAATAGCATGGTCTGACTCATTTTAAAAGACCACATAGCTGCTTTGTGGAGAATAAAATGAAGAGGGTTGCATCAATTAGGAGAGTAACATTGGAGGTGGTGATAAATGGTCAGATTATGAATGTATTTTGAGATGAGAGCTGGCATAATGTGTTTCTCCCAGGTTTCTGTCATATATGTAGCTATAATAATGTTTTGCAGTCAATCACTGGTCTGGTGTGTGCAGTTCACTGTGGCCAGTTTGTCTGAATCTGGAGAGATGAAACACCCACACAAAACAAGTTACATGAAGCGAGCTTATTACTTACAGGTAGGCATCAATGGAAAATAGCTTAGGATTTATTGCAACCTGGACTTCCAAGGCTCAGAAAAGCTGCTCTGGGGAGGAAGGGGTATGGTGTGTCTGTGCCTTACTTGCACCACAGCTGAAGGACTCCTGAAAGCAGCCTGTCCTGAGTTTTGTGCCCTGGGGTAACATGAAACATTAGGCTAAAGTGATTAAGGATAGCTTCTTTCTAATGAGGACTGGAACAGAGTGCAGGTTATTCCAGCCAGTTCCTCCCTATCTCAGGATTTTGCATTATTTGCACATTCAGCAGTTATTCTTGGGAAATACAAGTGAGAAAGAGCGGGGAACTAGGTTGATCAAAATCCACCCAGAAAATTATCCTGCACTATGGCCGACCCTATTTGACAGAATTTATCTAGTCTGTGTTTTGACATTCCTCCAATACTTCACGTGGCATCAGGTGGCATATTGAAAGTAACAAATATGATAGGATAAAAGAGCTGACAGGAAGAAACAGAATAGAATCTGTTCTTAAATTAAGTCCCTTGCGACTGGAGGAGGTGGATGCAGTTGCTCTACCCTAGACAATCTCAGACTGTGGCTGTCAAGCTTGTCTTTCATCCTTCTCTAGTGATACCCTTGCCTTGGTTGCTGGCAGTGGAAATGGATGGGTCAAGTGTATCTTTTCTTGACCTTGATGTTCAAGGGTTGCTAAGGGAGGCTAGTGAGAAATGCACACAAACAGCTATTTAGAAAGGGCTCTGTTGGGAAGACGACCTGCTGAACTTCCAGATGGAGGTCATCTCTCCACATCTGCACTCATCACTGTGGAGGCAGCTGCTCTCACTGACATATCACACTCCTAAAGAGATGTTTGTTGTTGATAGTGAATGTTCCAATTCTCAGGTTCAGAAGGTCCTAGAATTTAAGTACTGGAGTATCTTACAGACATTTTATCTGATGGATAAACAAACTAAGACATAAATGTCAAAGATAATAACCTTCTATCACCACACAGTTGAATAGAGACAGAGCTGGGACCAGTTTATACCTTCA
This sequence comes from Homo sapiens, assembly GCF_000001405.40. Taxonomy (NCBI): domain Eukaryota; kingdom Metazoa; phylum Chordata; class Mammalia; order Primates; family Hominidae; genus Homo; species Homo sapiens. The sequence goes on along the minus strand of NC_000010.11, from coordinate 56,326,564 downwards.
GTGGCATAGATGGCCTATTCCTTCAAGAGTCAATCTGAATTTGTAAAGATTTACTTAAGCAAGAGTTGCAAATTGAACTTTGAGACTGAATAAGACTTTTAACACCAGAACGTCATTATTCTAGGTGGGAGTTGTAATTCCTAACATTGATAAGAACAGCTTTCCCTCTATTTTTGTAGGTGTCGGAAAATGTAGTCCCACTTTTTTTTTTTTTTTTTTGATAGAGTCTCGCTCTGGCTCAGGCTGGAGTGCAGTGGCGTGATCTCGTCTCACTGCAACCTCCTCCTCCTGGGCTCAAGTGATGCTCCCACCTCAGCTTTGTGAGTAGCTGGCACTACAGGTGTGTGCCACCACACTGGGCTAATTTTTGTATTTTTGGTAGAGACGCTTTCTTCAAGCTGCCTAGGCTAGTCTGGAATTTCTGAGCTCAAGTGATCTGCCCACCTAGGCCTCCCAAAGTCCTGGTATTACAGGTATTAGCCACTGCACCTGGCCTTATTTTTTAATTCTTATTTTTTTGTATACTATGTCTTACTGAAAATTTCAGTGGAATTATAAGAATAGCTGAAAATAAATCACAATGTTCAAAAAACTTCCATAATCCTGAAGAACTGTACAAAAAGTCCCCAGACAATCATTATTAAATATTTACATGTCATTCAATTTTTTATGGAGAATTGGAATGTGAAATGTGTACACATTAGGAATTATTGGGTGAGAATTTTTTTGCTAGCCAATTTCTTGTCTCTCAACTGTGAGAAATAAAACACATAATTATATCAGTAAGATTTTTCCAAACTCTATGAGAACACTTTACCATACAGGCCAGAATTTCCACCTACCAATAAAACTTTTTAACAGGCTATTTTTTTCAAGTATACTGTTAAGAAAAACATTGTCTTTAGAGTTTCTTTCTTTCTTTCTTTCTTTTGAAAATTCATGGTCACTCTGAATTTTCAGGGTCATTCTATACTTTCATGATGTAACGTGTCATATGAAGCTCAAATGGGACTTTCAACCACGAGTTTTAAAATTCGTTTCTTTATCTCATATTTGCAAACTACCAATAATGCTATTTTGTCTTGCTTTTGTGCATTTGTAAATGTTTTATATTCGAAATTGCGCTGATGGGTCAATTAATTTCAAAAATTACATTTTCAAGTACGATCAATAACAACATTTATAAAAGAGATCAGGGAGTGGAGTGAACAGAAAGAGGAACTGCAGGACATGGGAAACTAAGGCCATGGAATTACAGGAATAAGAATATACAAATGTTTATTTCCTGTGGAGAACTCCCAGGCTACTAACCCTTGTGTTCCTTCTTATTTTCTTCTGTCTTATTCATCCTGTAAATAATGATCCTGTAAGGTAATATGCAAAATTCACCATTCTTTATTTTTGTCTTAATAACTAGAAATTACAAATGTCATTACTAACATTAATTAATGCATGCTATATACTATGTTAAGTACATTTCATCTCTTTGTCAGTAGTTTAAATTTTGATACTTTATCTTAAAGATAGGGAAACTGAGGCTCAGAGATATTAAGTATCGTCTTCAAAGTGGCTAAGTGATGAAGCAGGGATTTAAACTCAAGACTGACTTTAGTGTCTTAGTTTGTTTTTTCTTCCTATGCTGTGCGTTCCAATCAAGTCTAAATAGAAAAGCTGTTCTTTAAAAAGCCGAATATTCAGCACTTAGTCATATACCTTAATAGAATTGCTAACAGTAAAACTATTACTTTCCTAGGCATCTTCTTGAAACTTATTTTTTGTGTGTGTGAGTAAAAGTGGATTTTTTTCTTGTTGTTATATTAAACTCAGTTCTCACCTTTGGCCTTAGGAGAAATAAGAACATACACCCTCAGATTTCCTCCCTTGAATTTTCCTCCTGAAAATAGAACCCTTTAGTTCCTATTGCACATTTCTAGCATAACTACAATGAAAGTCTTTAGCTAAGAAAGGCTGACTCCACTGTGGGGAATCAGACATTTGGTAGAATTGCCCCCCAAAGTTCTGAGAATCTATGAAGTATGATATTTAAGGGCAGAAGATGATATTTTCCTCTGACTCCATATGATCCACAAGTCATGCATTGATGCTTAAGATTTTATCTTCAGAATGTAAAATGTTTTTCTTAAAACTTTTAAAGAAAAAACACTAACTTAGGCCAAGTTTGCTCTTTTATACTTCATGAATATGGATAATCTAGAAGCTGGATTTCATCTAGGGAGAAAGAGTGAGTACGGTGATGCCAAGCAGTAATGAAGGAATATAAAGCACATTGAGGTACTTTTGGAAAGCCCAAAGATAAATTTACCCACCGAACATTTTTCTTTCTAGCTGCTCAGCAAGGAATGGTCCTGCTGAGGAGAATCTGGCTTGTTATCATCAGCAAAAGCCAGGTGTGGAGGAATGTGAGGTCTCCCCGCCAAATGATGATAGACCAGGTTGCGCTGCATGAATGGGGGCCTCCTCAGCTGAGCATAACGTTTGGCACGCTTGATTCACATCAACTCTGTTTTAAATTCGACTCTGCTCATTTATGCAGCATCTAGGGATGTGCTTGCTTGGCAATCACAAGCATAAAAGCAAGTACTTTTCCCAGTAGCAATTTATAAAAATAATTCAGATGAAAGATTGCTCTCAGAATTGTTAATGAAGTCAGACACAGAAAATGCCAGATTTTCTTTTCTACAAACTCACATTCTTTTTTAAATTGCCAGAAAGCTTCGCTACAAAGCTTTGCTCCAAATTTCTTCTGCCTAAATAAATACTACAAAGTGCAGGAAACTGTGTAAAATAAAGACTAAGTATTAGTGCACCATAGTGTTGGACTTCAGATTCCATTTTCTTTTTCAACACTTTGTACATGATTTATAACTTTAAAAATGAATTTCAGTAGACAAATATTGAACCAAGATACAATTGTAGTACTATGATATTTTTCTTTCATATTCTACACGCTTATTTCATTTCTTCTATCATCTGCTAATACTAGGAGCTCATTAACCTAAACTCTCATTGGTAGTTATGTGTTCAGAATTTGTCTTCTCTTGCAGCATTCCTTTGATTACATTCTAGTGCAGATGTTGAAACAAACCAATAAATGAAGTATAATGGCAAAAGTGCTACGAATAAAAATACAGCAGAGACGAAGAACATGGAGTACCAGTGGGAGAAAGGGGAGTGTCATTGGTTGTGGTGTTGGTTAGAAAAATATTTAAATAGAGTCAGAGAATGCTGCTCTGATGAAGTGACAGTAGTACAAAGACCTGAAGAAAGTGAGTAAGGGAGGCATTTGGATATATGGGAATAACTATTCCAGGCCAAGATAAAAGCAAATACAAAGGACTATATGGAAGAGATTTTAGTGCATTTGAGAAACCATATGAAAACCAGTGGGAATGATGCAGAGTTAGAAATGTGAGAAATAGTAACATACGCAGCTTGATTGCATAGGACCTTGTATGCCATTATAAGGGCTTTACCTATTACTCTGAGAGAGATGCATGTCATGGTAGAGTTTTGAATAACATTATCTGATTTACATTTCAAGAGGATGATTTTGGCTTCTGTATGGAAAATAGACCTGAGGATAACAGGATGAAGAAGGAAAATTTTTTAGGAGGTTATGATCTGGGTCAAGGTGTTGGTGACAGAAATGGAGATAAATGGTGAGATTATGGATAGAATTTAAAGGTAGAGCCAACATTGTTTCCTTATTGATTAGATGCAGAGTGTCGGAAAAAGTGATATGTCAAGGACATCTCCAAAGTCTTTTGTTCTGAGGAACTGGGAAGATAGAGTTACCTAATACTGAGTGGTAGAAGAATAATTTGGAATGGAGATCTGAGCCAGATATTGGGTGTTTAATTTTGGATGGATTAGGTTCGCAATGCCAAATAGAAATTCAAAGGGATAATTAGGCAGTTGCATTCACAAGTCTGGAGATCACAGGTGATGTTCAGACTGGAAATATAAATTTCGGGTGGTTCTTTAAACAGATCTTATTTGTAACCATTAGAGTACAGGGAATGAGCACAGAACAAAGGAAAAAAATTACAAAAACTAGAAGGAGTACAACCTTTAAAGATAGGAGAGAAAAGGAAAACTCAATGAAAAAGAAGTTGATAATGAAGGAGATATAGTAGAGGAGAGGCTGGTGTGGTAGGTACTAATGGAATGCCTCTTCTGCTGGCTTTTATTTTTCCAGTGAATACAAAATGCCACCAGCTTTTCACATATTTATATTATATGTGTTATACTCTGCAAGAAAAGGAAAAAAAAAGTTGTCCTGGAGGATGGATGGTTTATCAGCTGAGAATAAGAACTGAAAGGATGTGATGGAGATTTGAGAAGAGAGAAAGTCCGAAGGTGTTGTCTAGGAGAGTTAAGAATTATTGGACCATGAAAATGTAGTAAAATTGTGTGTTGGCACTAAGAGCCTATCTGAGGTTCATAGCAATGAACTAGGTCTAATATTAGAACTGTTTGCTCTGTTACGCTGTATAGGAGCAGGTACATTGTAGGCTAAGAACTGAATTTAATGAGAGAATAGTTTTGACCAAGAAAAGATTAAAAAGTTTCCTCTTGGAGATAGTCATGGCCATGTGATTTGCGTGGCCAATGAATTGAGAGCAATATGACTTCTGGGCAGAAGTCTTTATAAACCAATTCTCTATGCTCTGTTTCCTTGATACAGCAAAACCTGAAGTGTCATGTTGAACAAAAAAGTCGTGCTACTAGATGTAGTGTTCTAGAATGGTGAACCACTACATAGAGGAAGATTCCCTGGAGAATCTTGGATCAATGATATTTTGTGAGAAAAGAAATAATATTGTGTTGTGGTAAGCCACTGAGATTTAGTTGAGATTGTTATCATAGCATTATCTAGCTTCTAAATGAGTAGATTTTAATTGTGTTCACCACAAAAAATAAGTATTTGAGATAATGCCTATATTACACAGCTTGATTTAGCTATTCTACAGTGTATACATATATGAAAACATCATATTGTACTCCATAAATATATACAATTTTTACTTGTCAATTAAAATTTTTAAAAAATGCTTAATTTTTTAAAATAGAGGTATGCTTATGATAATAAATAGCTGAGGTAAGAAGAAGGATAAGATGAGAAAGACCAAGATATAGAAGTATCATCGATATGAAGACTTAAATCACCAAGAATTATGAGGTGATAAGTGATAGAAAAAGTGACATTTAGCCAGGAGATAAAATGAGCAAAGAGTAGAGGAAAGAACTTGAAGGTGTGTACGTGGCTGCTTGTATAAGTATGTCAGTTTATTCTCTTACTGAGAAAGAAAAATAAAAGTCTTAGTATCTTCTCTGCTCAATTTTGCTATGAAACTAAAACTCCTCTGAAAAATGAAGGCTACTTAAAAAATACAGTCCATTTGTTTCCACTTACCTGAATTTATATTCATTATAATTTTTATTTCAAAAACTCTGTATCATATAGTTGATTAAATGAATCTTTTTAAAAAAATTTTACTTTATGTTCTGGGATTTAGTACCGGAAATACCATATGACCCAACAATCCCATTATTGGATATATATCCAAAGGATTATAAATCATTTTAGTATAAAGACACATATATGTTTATTGCAGCACTATTTATAATAGCAAAGACTTGGAACCAACCAAAATGAATCTTTTATCCCCAGGTGTTTATTTGTTTATTATTATTATTGTTACTTGGAAAAAATTTTTCTTTGTTGCTTGACATAGTTTACTAGTTTGTAGGATTTAGAAACACAGAGAAGTAAAATAATCAATACTACATTAGCATTGCCAATAGTTTAGCACACATGATTTGGAGTAAATATTAAGTGGCAATTATGCCACAAGTAATAGAGAAAAAAAGGACCTCTTGTCTTCAGAGGTGTTTCAGTGAAACTTTTTCTAGTGTACCTGAAAAACATATCAACGTACGTTGACTATAGAAAAAAAGTTGCTGGCATTGAAACCTACCTTTATAAAAAAACAAATACAAGTTTGACCTCACCAATGACCATGATACATGATTAAAATAAATAAAAACTTTCATCAGTTCTGTTTAAAAAATAGAGTTATTTGAAGTATTACAGTTTTTACAAATATTCTTAGTATAACAACAATTCAATTTTTATTTTCAAAAACTTTTAAACATTTGGTTATATATAGTCAATTATTTCCATTTTATTTACTTATTAACAGATTTTTTCAGAATTCTTACCATAATTTGCATAACTGCATGCTAGCTTAAGTTTGATTTTCATTCTCTAGGAAATGGATACAAAGAACATCTATAAAATACTAATTTTTATTTGATAAAACATTTAGAACTTTTCTATTTTCTTTATGAGGCAAATTTTTTAATTTATCATTTTCTTTACATTTTTCTTTCAAATTCATTTTTTACATGGTTGTTTCACTAAAATTATTTTGGTTACATCTTTAGCTATAAACCCAATTTCCTTACTGTGCCATTCTCAGAAAAATTTGAACTATTTGTCTAAGAGTTCCCTATTTGCTACACCTCTCACCCCAGTTTTCTAACCCCCCTTGATTCATTATATATGTCTTATAAAGCATATTAATGTTTTTTAAACTAAATGTTAAAATTCACCCCACCAATCAGAATGAGGATGGAATATTTTATAATTATTTCACTACCAATTTTTGTCAGGCTTCGCCATGTCCTTAGTTCTTTAATAACAGTAAGAGAGCTCTGTTATTACAAGTAAATATGTGTCATGCTCTAGTCATAATAATTTACATTTACTCTTCACCAGAACTTTTTGAGATAAGGTAATTACCTACTTTTACTGAAGACTTAGTTTCAGTATCATGATCTGCTTATATTTACATAGCTAAGGTATGACACAGTTTGGGATTCAATCATGAAGCCTGCCTGGTTTCAAAGTCCACCTCCTAACCACTGACCACATTTACCAAAATATGGTCTTCAGTTATGCAACAAACTTATTTAAGTACAGTTTCCTGGGTCCCAGTTTAGATCTAGTGAGTCAGACTCTGAAAAGGGGTAGGAATGGGAGTCTGAATTCTTACAATGTCTTCCAAGTAATTGTTCAACACCTGAAATTTGAGAACAATTCCATTCATTTTACCATCTTGATTCCCCCAGCCATGCATGGTTTGGTCCCATACTCTGCTTCATCCTATCTCATTTCTAAAAGTTATTCTCACCTGGAGCAAAAGTAATGAAAAACATTGACATCAAAGAAATTAGTGACAAGCCAGTGCTGAGTCTACCATTGCTAAATGAACTTCTGTCTAGTCCCCTAGACAAAAAACAAAACAAAACAAAAAAACCCAGGAATGGGTCATTGTAAAGATTTTACAGCCTCACTTATTTGAAAGGGCTAGGCTGTAGCTCTACTATTTTTAGTCAGAGTTTTGATGCTATATTTAGTAAATTTTGGCCCATTTACTTTTGGATGCATTGCCACCGCTTTCTGCCCATATTTGGGTAAGTGCTACCACCTGCTATTGTAAACTGAAGGTTTGAACGTTTTGTTTGTTTGTTTGTTCTTTTGGCTGAACTGAGACTTCTTACCACCACATGCAGCTGAGTCTACCCTACTCAGCTCCAGTGACCCAGATCTGGATGACTTTTATCCTGTGATGTGTCAGGTGTCATTTGTTAAACACAATACAGCATAATTATATATAATTAAGGGAGAAGGTAAATAGCAACAATAAAAATTCAGTCTAAGCCCAGATGAATCACAGGAATCATGCTTTCTTGGTCTCTAAGACCAGTGTATTATGAGGAGTTTAAAACTCACTCATGTATTATAAGTGTAAGCAGAGGTTGTCTGATATAATTTCACGTAGGACAGAAATTGCGCATTTTTACTACTTACTCTTACTTCAAAGTTCCTCATAGTACAATGCTTCAGAAATTCCATAATACATCTATATGCATTTCATCTTTTTCCTAAAGCCATCATGACAATCTCATTAAAATGACTTTTGGCAGGATAAAAAAAATATTTTTTTAATCTAAACTTGGTTTAAAAATATATTTTCTTGGTCAGTTAGGGGTGCTATAACAAATACTGTTGACTGGGTGGCTTAAACAGCAAACATTTATTCCTCATAGATCTGGAAACTGAAAGTCTGATAGGATGCCATCATGGCTGGTTTCTTGGTGATGGCCTTTCAGATTAGGTCCTCACATAGCCTTTCCTTGAAGCATGCATGCAGAGAGATATCTCATGTCTCTTCTTTTTATAAGGTCACTAATCCCATCATGGGGATCTATTCTCATGAACTCATCTAAACTTAATTGCCTTCCAAAGGCTACATCTCCAAATCTATCACATTGGTGATGAAGGCTCCAGCATATGAATTTTAGGGGCGACACAAACATTCAGTCCATTGTGTGTGTGTGTTTGTGTATATGGTGTGTGTGTGTAATCTAAACCAAGACATGTAGATATATACACATATATAATCTAAACTAAGATCATTTAAAAGTGAAATATAATAAATACATTTTAATTTTAAATCTTACAAAATAAAACCTGTCTATGTACTTTTACTATTGACACAGGATTCTTTTAGTGCCACTTTGCCAGTGAAAATTCTCTGCTGCTGGCACCTCTGCCTGGGCTTTCCTCAGGCCCACATGGCTGGCTCCACCCACTTGGCCTGGCAGGCTTAAGTCAGCTCATGCTACACCAGAATCCTGTGCCAGCTGTGGCTCTGCGTTCAGCCAAGAGGCTGGTCTGGGCATGCTGCAACCAGCTTCTGCCTTGGGCCCTGGCATCCGGAAGAGGGGGACACAAAGGTGTCTGAAAACTAGGAGATGCCAGCAATGACAGAGGCCCAGGGAGAGTTACAGCTTTTGCTTGGGGAGCCCCAAGGTCCGAGCCCCCAGGAGATGTTGCAGTCCTCACCTGTTCCTGCTGCCCACAGCTTGGTGAATGGGGTTGTGTGGCGTTCAGCAGTTTTTTTCACTCCTGTAGCTTGGTGAGCAGAAACGCGTGTTACAGCTCTTTTCACACCCACCTTTTGGGAGGTTCCAAATTGTTGTCCCACAACCAAGAGGAATGAGGTGGACAGACACTAGAGAGCAAGCAAGGCAGAGAAGAATTTTATTGAGTGACAGAAAAGCTCTCGATAATGAGAGGGGACCCAAAGTGGTTAGCCTTCTGTGTGAGAGAGGGACTGAAAGCAGGTAGCCCTCTGCGAGGCTGAGTCCAGGGTTTGTATGGGCTTAGAATGGGGGAATGTGTGCTAAGGAGTCTGTGGGTGGGCCTATAAAAAGCACCATTTGATTAGCTAAAAGGCATAGAGGAAGTTCTCACTCAGGTCCTGGACTCCACCCAGAACTGGTGGCTCAGTTTTCAGGCTTCAGGCTCTTTGGCTTGAAGGTCAGGTTTCATTGAGGACCCATCCCTATCTGCCTAGGAGTTTGTCTTTCTCCTGCCACTATCACTATTTCCAAACTAATCACATAAACCGTTTGTATAATTTTCATCATTTTATTTAAAGCTGTATGGAATACAGTTAACTACACTTATTTAAAGTGTACAGTTAGATTAGTGTTCATATATCTATACACCCATGAAATCATCATCACAACCCATGAAAACAAACATATCCATCTCCACCAGAAACCATTTCTTCATGTTACTTTGCACCTCCCTGGTTTTCTTGTGCCATCTCCTCAATTCAAAGGAACTTCTGAGCTTGGTGTTCTGTGACCCTGAGTCACAGCCTGCAGACTATCTCCAGGAAGTAAGGTGAAGCAATCATAAGGATCACTTCATTATTATTCTCTTCCCCAGAAATCTCCATCCCACATCACCTGATGTACAATGTCTGATAACAATTGTTTAATTTATTTCTCTAGTTTTTTAGTCATTTCTGGTGAAAGTGTAGTTCCTATTCCTCTTACCACACATGGACTAGAAGTGGAAGACCCAGTGGCAACCACTGGATGTTCATTTAATTTGCTCCCTTTTCGTCATCTGTTGTTTATCATGTAGTCTTGTTTTGCTTCCCAGTTCTTACTCTTTGCTATAGTTTGCATGTGTTGTCTCTAATATTTAGGTGTTCAAGCTTAATGGCCAATCTAAGCGTATTAAGAGGTATGGCTTTAAGAGGTAGTTAGATCATTAGAGCTCCTACTCTTGTGAATATAATTAAGGATTTAGTAAAAGAATCTTCTTAAAGTGTTCAGGTTGTTTGCTCTCCTGCCTTCTACTATGTGAGGACACAGCATTCCTCTCTCCTCCCAATAAGCCAATTTAGAAGCAAAGACTAGACTAGCCCTTATACGAAAGCAAATTCTGTGAATGCCTTGATCTTGGACTTCCTAGCTCCCAGAACTGTGAGAAATAAGTTTCTGCTCTTTATAAATTACCCATTCCATATTTTGTTATAGCAGCAAAAGTGGACCAAGACACTCCTGTTAGGCATGTTTATTTGTTGGCATTATTGGTATTGATTCCAGAATTGTTTATGGATTTAATTGAATATATTACTAAGTATCCATAACTAAGCTAAATAGTTTATTTTTAATGATCACTTAGGAAGAGTTAATTGCATGCCTTTTATGGGAGACAATTATTCATAGGCTTCTTGTGTTTCTGCATGTCTTTCAAGCAGAGGAAATAAATGTTTTTGTTCTTAATTCTTTTTTCAAAGATGTTTCTATGGAGACTGTCCATGGAAAACACAGATGATCTCTTTTTCTACAGTAAAGGGCATGTTTGCTTACAGTTTTGGATGATAGAGATGTAATCTCCCTTCAGGGCAAATGTACAGCATGTTTACTGTTCATTATAAAACATCCATGATCCTTGACTTTAGTGTTCCTCTCTGGTAATATAGCCCACTGTAGAGGCACCTATTATTATTTTTTGTCATGTAGCCCTATGGGAATTAGGGCCTAAAGAACCAGCACAAGAAAATGTTAATAATCTGACTATTGCTATTTCTGGGAGTAATAAAATCCTTTGTCTCTACACAGAAGCCTTAGTCTTCTGCCAACATTCTTGATATTGTGGCAGATTAAATTCTTGTTTGAACATAGGGCAAAATCTCAGATTCTGTACAGTATTGAAAAACTTTTGTAAATGATTTGTAAACCTAAGTGGAATGCAATTATTAATTGAAATGAATTTTGATATGTCCAAAATCATTACTCATGTGTGAAAGCTATATAAAAAGAGTGTTTTTGACCACACTGGTTCACTATAAAATATTATTTTAGCATCTTTTGAAAATGAGTAAGTGAAATGGATAAAATGTTTTGGTACCAATCAATTCTATTTTGAATTGATTGGTACATTTAACATAAATGTATAAAGAAATACACTAAGCATGCACTGAGGAAGCCTTTGCTGCTTTCGTCACAATTCTGTCCAGGACATATCAAAACATAGGAAGGGCAGAAAGAAACAGCCTCTTGAATAGAAAATTGTGTTTATTTTCTTCCTCAATTCTTTTCAGTAGGTCCTCACACAAAATATTTTTTTTTTTGAGCAAGAGAACAATGTGAACTATAATAAGATTGTGGAACTTCCCATATCTAGATATTTATGCCTAAGAAATTGTAACTACTTTGATTAAGCAACCCAGATTCAATGTAAATCACATTTATTCCTGAGTGCTTTCTAACATATTGAGCAAAGTAAAATCAGCATAAATACAAAAGACAGACAAACGAAAGTTGCTTAACCAAAAACAATTTTGTGTTTTTACTTGAGGAAATGATTTAACATTCCTGCAATTCTGCTTTCTCATCTGTAAAAAGCAAAATAATAGTATTTACTTCACAGGGTTGTTGTAAGAATTAAATGAATTAATGTATGTAAGACAGTTGGAACACAACCTTACACTTAGAAAGAGATATTATTCTTTAATTAATCATTGACTTTAGTTATAAAGGAATAGACATGATGTCAAAGGAGTTGAAAGAGAACAATAAAATTTTTAATAGTGAAGGAAAGAAGGTATAGCTTCCTATGGCTGCAATAGCAAAGTATTATACATTAGATGTCTTAGAACAAGGGAAAAGTTTTGTTTCATAGTTCTAAAGGCTAGAAGTGTGAAATCAAGGGATTGATGGGCCATGCTCCCTCTAACACCTGTAGAGAAGGTTACTTCTTTGCCTCTTCCTGCTTCTGGCAATCCCAGATGTTCCTTGGTTTGTGGCAACATAATTGCAATCTCTACCTCCATCTTCAGTGGCATTCTCTCTGTGTATCTTCATCATCTTCCCTCTATGTGTCTATCTGTGTCCAAATTTTCTCTTTTCTATAAGTAGCCCAGTCATATTGGATTACCGTCTATCCTAATGAGCTCATTTCAACCAGATTACCTCTGTGATGATTCCATTTTCAAATAAGTTCACATTCTAAGGTGCTGGGGGTTACAATTTTCGTGTCTCTTTTTTACATGACAGAATTAAACACATAGCAGAGAAAATTAAGGTATATATTAAAATAGTATAGATATTTTATTTAAATATATATAACATTAGATAAATAGATATGTCCTGAAAACTTTTAAAAATTATGGTATTTCAGGATAATCTTGACAATACACAGAGAATACTTTGTGTCTTAGCTATAGTGATGCCACCTATGTGACAGTGTAAACACAATTTACAATTTACTTCAGTTGGCCAAATTTTCTTGAAATTCTGGGATTTGTGATCATGGGGATGAGGGCCAAGTATATAACAGTTTTGTATTGGATCATTTTTTTCTTAAAAATCCATATCATGTTCTATCACAATAACATAATTTGATTGGCATAAAATACTGCACTGTCAGCTGGAGCATTCTGAATGGGTTTGTACAGAGCCTGACTTGTAGGTAATATCCATTGGGTCAATAGGATTTAAAGCTGTTGCATTTTAATATTATATTTCTAAGTAATGCTTTGTTGTAATTCATATTATCTTGATTAGTAATATATAAGAATTACTTTTTATATCAAATTAACTTGATACAAAAAGTATTTATTAACTCAGCTATGAAAAAAGAACTAAAGATGTACATTAGACTTTTGCTTTCATTACTTTAAATACCTTTGTATTTAAATATTATTATTGTTTCATTTTTTATTTGCAATCATAGGCTGATAACCTAATTAGAATGTCAAAAATATTGTCACAAAACTGTACCCTCTAGGTGGAATAGAACTCTTCTCTGGTATTTAATTCCAAATTCTTCTTTGTCAGTACTGCATGAATTCAGGAAAACAGCTGACACCAGATAATCAATACTTTTGATCAAGCATTCTGGCAAAGAGAAATATTAAAAGGATTAATGAAAGTACTTTGTTACCTCAAAATCTGGGCCTTTGTAGGACAAATGCTAAAATATTTCAGATACTTTATGATAAACTGAATCAGTGAACTACAGATATTTAGGGTATTACTTCTCTACATTTTCTTGGAGTGAGATTTCTCTTAGAACTCCAGGGATTGAATTCAGTCAGCTAAAAAAGAGTAGAAAAGAATACATGGAGATGAATATATTAGAAGTTGTGGGTGGAATATTCCAAGTCTTTCATATAATTTAAACTTAAGAGAAAATTGATTTGCAAGTTAGACTCTAAGGTATCATTTACGGTTAAATTATTTTTAATACATTCAGATTCTTCTAGGGTGGGACAAAATCTCACTGAGCTGGGGCATCTCTATTGTATCATCAAAATTATACAGCAATCTCAAATATGCAAAGCACATTGCTTTACTAAGATAAATTAGAGTATAAGATATTCTGTAAGTTCTGCAAATATGTAGGAATAAGTAGGAGAAAGAAGTAAACCAAGTGGAATAAGGGCCTAAGGAAACTTATGGAAATGTGGGGTTAACTTTTATGACGGTAGCTACAACATCTAAAGTTCAAGGAAAAAATGGATGTATGGGGTATGAAATTGATTTAGAAATATTACAATATTTATTTATGTATAAGAATAAAGTAATTATAACTACCATATTTTGAATACTCAGTATGTGTCAGACACTGTGAGAAATATTTGGTGGATAGATCTTTAACTTAAAACAACTTACTGAGTTGACAGCATTATTTCCAGTGCAAAGATGAGGAACATAGGACATCATATATTGAATAACTTGGCATAACTGAGAAGCTTCAATTTAACATGATGGTAGAAGTTGTTCAGGAAGCAGAGAACAGTCAAGTCATCCATTATTCCTAGTAAGAAGTTCATATATAGCATGAAGCCATAAGGTTGCAGGGCATAAGGGAGCCAGAATCCAGCAACCCACAGAATTAACCTGAAAAGAAATAGGAAGAAGATGAGGATTTCCACTAATTATATTGAAGCTATAAGCATGAATTCTGTCCTAATACCGAGTTAGAGTGTTAGACACAAAAACAGGGGTCATTTAGTAGTTAAAAATAATAATGCCAGTTACATTTTATGAATTACTATATAAGCAGAACTATGCTACACAATTTGCATTCATGCTTGTATACACTTAGCAAATTACTTTTCTAAGTTACACACACAGTGACTGTCTCAACTGGGATACAGACCCAAGTTTACCTGCTTTCAAAGACTATTTGATTTCCATTATATTTTATTTATTTACTTCTAACAGTGAGGTATAAGGCCACTCATGGTCCCTAAAGGTTGAGGTTGGTTGAAAGGAATGGCATGAGTGACTTCAACTGGCAATGTGATTACTTTATGGAATATAAGGAGTATTCTACACTTCAAAAGGTGAGGGAAAATGCTTCTATTCTTTTGAGAAGTAAACTTTTATTTTTAATTATTTTAATTTTAAATTTTGAATTATTTATTTATTTTTTAATTTTTTATCTTCTAACTTTTATTTTAGATTCAGGGTTATGTGTCAGATACAAGTAAATTGTGCGTCACAGGGTTTTGCTGTACAGATTATTTTGTCACCCAGATAATAAGCATAGTATCCGATAGGTAGTTTTTCAATCCCCTACCTCCTCCTAACTTCAAGTAGGTCCTGGTGTCTGTTGTTCCCTTCTTTGTGTCTATGTGTACTCAATGATTTGCCCCCACTTATAAGTAAGAACATAGGATATTTAGTTTTCTGCTCCTGCATTAGTTTGCTTAGGAGTATGACCTCCACTTCTATCCATGTTGCTGCAAAGGACATGATCTCATTCTTTTTATGGCTGCATAATATTCCATGGTGTATATGTGCCACATTTACTTTATCCAGTCTACCATTGATAGGCATTTAGTTTGCTTCCATGACTTTTTTATTGTGAATAGGGTGGCACTGAAGATATGCATGCATGCGTCTTTGTGGTAGAATGATTTATATTCCTTTGCTTATATACCAAATAATAAGGTTGCTGGGTCAAATTGTACTCTTGTTTTAATTTCTTTGATCAATTGCCACACTACTTTCCACAATGGCTGAACTAATTTACATTTAAACCAGCAGAGTATAACCATTCCCTTTTCTCTGCAACCTTGCCAGCATGTTATTTTTTGACTTTTTAATTGTAGCCATTCTGACTGGTGTGAGACAGTATCTCATTTTGGTTTTGATGTGCATTTCTCTAATGATTAGTGATGTTGAGCATTTTTTCATATGCTTGTTGGCCACATGTATGTCTTCTTTTCAAAAGTGGCCATTCATTTCCTGTGTCCACTTTTTAATGGGGTTGTTTTTTGCTTCTTAATTCATTTAAGTTCCTTATAGATTCTGGATATTAGATCTTTGTTAAATACATACTTTGCAAATATTTTCTCCCATTCTATAGGTTGTCTGTTTACTCTGGATTTGGTCTGTTTGGCTGTGAAGAAGATCTTTAGTTTAGTTAGATCCCACTTGTCATTTTTTGTTTTTGTTGCAATTGCTTTTGGTATCTTCATCATGAAATTTTTGCCAGGGTCTATATCCAGAATGATATTTACTAGGTTATCTTCAAGGGCTTTTATAATTATATATATTGTATTTAAATCCTTAGTTCATCTTGTGTTGATTTTTGTATATGATATGAAGAAGTCCAGCTTCAGTCTTCAGCATATGGCTAGCTAGTTATTCCAGCATCATTTATTAAAAAGTTAGAGTGATGGGTTGATCCATGCAGCAAATCACCGAGGCACATGTTTACCTACATAACAAGCCTGCACATCTGCACATGTACCCCATAACTTAAAATAAAAGTTAAAAGAAAAACAAAAAACAAACAAATAACAACAACAACAAAGTGAGTCCATTCTTGATTGTTAGTTTTTGTCAAACTTGTTAAAGATCAGATAGTTGTAGGTCTGTATCTTCATTTCTTCATTCTCTATTCTGTTCTATTGGTCAATATCTGTTCTATTGGTTGAACCAAACAGTACAATGCTATTTTGGTTACTGTAGCCTGGCAGTATAGTTTGAAGGTGTGTAATACCATATGTCAAACTTTGTTATTCTTGCTTAGGAATGCCTTGGCTATTGGAGTTCTTTTCTGTTTCTATATGAATTTTTAAATAGTTTTTTCTATTTGTGTGAACAATGTCTTTGGTAGTTTGATAGGGATAGCATTGAATTTGTAAATTGCTTTGGACAGTATGGCCATTTTAACAATATTGAATCTTCCTAGTAATGAGCATGGAATATTTTTCCATTTGTTTGTGTCATCTCTGATTTCTTTGAGCAATGTTTTCTAATTCTCCTTGTAGAGTTCTTTCATCTCTTTGAGCAATGTTTTCTAATTCTCATTGTAGAGTTCTTTCATCTCTCTGGGTAGCCGTATTCTTAGGTATTTTCTTCTTTTTGTGCTTATTGTGAATGTTAATTTGGCTCTCAGCTTGAATGGTGTTGGAGTATAGAAATGCTACTAATTTTTGTACGTTGATTTTGTATCCTGAAATTTTGCTGAAGTTGTTTATCAGATCTAAGGGATGTTGGGCAGGGACTGTAAGTCTTTCTAGAAATAGAATCATATAGTCTTCCCACAGAGATAGTTTGACTTCCTCTGTTCCTATTTGGATGTCTTTTATTTCTTTCTCTTGCCTAATTGCTCTGGCTAGGACTTCCAGTACTATGTTGGATAGGAGCAAGACACATAGTCTTCAGATTCTCCAAGGTGGAAATGCAAGAAAAAATGTTAAAGGCAGCCAGAGAAAATGGGGCAGGCCACCTACAAAGGGACCCCCATCAGGCTAATAGCAGATCTTTCAGCATAAACCCTACAAACCAGAAGAGATTAAGGCCTATATTTAGCATTCTTAAATATAAGAAATTCCAATAAAGAATTTCATATCCAGCCAAACTAAGATTCATAAGTGAAGAAGAAATAAGATCCTTTTTAGACAAGCAAATGCTAAGGGAATTCATTACCACTAGACCTGCCTTACAAGAGGTCCTTAAGGGAGTGCTAACTATGTAACTACGGAGAGAAAAGACCATTGCCAGCCACCACAAAAATACCCATAAATGCATAAACCTCTGACAGTTTAAAGCAATCATACAATCAAGTCTGCATAATAACCAGCTAATAACTTAATGACAGGATCAAACCTACATGTATCAATATTTACCTTGAATGTAAATGGTGTAAATGCCCCAATTAAAAGGCACAGAGTGTCCAGTTGGATAAAGAGTCAAGCACCAACTGTTTGCTGTCTACAAGAGATCCATATTACAAGCAATGGCACCCATAGTCTCAAAGTAAAGGAATGGAGAAAACTCTACCAGGCAAATAGGAACCAAAAAAAAAAAAAAAAAGCAAGGATTGCTATTCTCATTTCAGGCAAAATAGACTTTAAACCAATGGCAGTCAAAAAATACAAAGAAGGGCATTACATCAGGGCAAAGGGTTCAATTCAGCAAGATCTAACTATCCTAGATATATATGCACCCAATCAGGGAGCACTCAGATTCATAAAGCAAGTTCTTAGAGATCTATGAATAAACTCAGACAACAGACAATAATATTGGGAGACTTCCAACACCCCACTGACAGTATTAGACAAAGGCAGAAAACTAATAAAAATATTCAGGACATGAACTCAACATTTGACCAAATGGGTCTAACAGACATCTGCAGAACTCTCCACCTCCCCAAAATAGAATATACTTTCTCTTCATTTGCACATGGCACATATTCTAAAATCCAACACAAAATTGACCACCAGACAATCCTAAGCAAACTTTAAAAAAAACTGAAATCATACCAAACACACTCTTGGACCACAGTACAATAAAAATAAAAATCAATACTCAGAAAATTGTTCCAAACCATACAATTACATGGCAATTAAACAACTTGCTCCCAAATGACTTTTGAGTAAACAGTGCAGGTATGGCAGAAATCATGAAATTATTTGAAACTAATGGGAACAAAAATACAACATACCAGAATCTCTGGGACACAGCTAAAGCGTTGTTAAAAGGGATATTATTAGTGCTAAATGTTCACATAAAAAAGATACAAAGATCTAAATTAACAACCTAACATCACAGCTAGCTACAGAAACTAGAGAAACAAGAGCAAACCAACCCCAAAGCTAGGCGAAGAGAAGAAACAACCAGAGTCAGAGCTGAGCTGAAGGAAATTGAGATGAGAAGTAAACAATTTAAATAAAAAAGTGAACAGTAAGTCAGTAAATAAATACATTCTGATATAGTCAGACAATTATTTTCAAATATGAATTGTTAAATCCAGAATTTATAAACAGACATGGATATGTTACTATTTTATTTCCTCACCCTTTTTGTCTATCACAGTCACACTAAAACTCTGCTTTCAACCAGCACTATAAGTTAGATTTTGTGTATGAAGAGGAACAGTAGACATTAATTAGAATTCTGGGCATGGTCATGGTGGCTTATGCCTGTAATCCCAACACTTTGGGAGGCCGAGGCGGGCAGATCACCTGAGGTTAGAAGTTCGAGACCAGCCTGGCCAACATGGCGAAACCCCATCTCTACTAAAAATACAAAAAAAATAGGCAGGTATGGTGGCAGTCGCCTGTAATCTCAGGTATTTGGGAGGCTGAGGCAACAGAATTGCTTGAACCTGGGAGTTGGAGGTTACAGTGAGCCGAGATCGCGCCATTGCACTCAAGCCTGGGTGACAGAGGGAGACTTCATCTAAAAAAACAAAAATTCTGAATTAAAGAATTCTGAATTTGTTTTTAGAAGCAGCCAGTTACGTTGGCAAAACCCCAACTCTCTGAGACCTAGTTCCTTTGTCAAATGAAAATAGATATCAATGTCCACAGCATAAATTCATTGAAATAATGCAATGTTACAATATCATAATTTTCATCATTTTTGTTAACAACTCTCCTTTCTCTCTACCTCACATATCTTTGCCTTTGGGTGTGGAATAACATACTGTCTCCTCTAGGACACCATAATTTATTCCAAATATGTTCAATAAAGTTTAAATTCTTATGTTATTTTAAGACTCTCATGCCCATGCTCCAACTGCACAGTACCTCATTGAGATATTTGTTTTTAAATCAAAGGAGGATTTCAATATTTTACATAACCCCTTACTGATGACATAATTTGCCTTTTTCTGTTTAATGGGTTTAATGAAAACAAAACCCTAATTTTACTTTTTGCCTAAACAAAAGATTAAGTACTTTTAATTTATATCAATAGTAGCATTTTGCATGTCACATAGGAATTAATACCAGCTTGATTAGCCTTGATAGTGTCAAAATTTTATCTAGCATCCCCATCTTTCAGTATTCTGTGGTTATTGATCATTTGGCAGAAGCCTCTAGAGTGAAACAAGAAAGGAAACAGGGGCTGACCTAACCAATATTGTGATTTTTCTTGTTTATTTAGGAGAGGTTTTATGGAGTTTTTATGGATTCTGTACACATTAAAGGCCAGTTCTAAAAATGATAGCTGGTCTCTTACTCTGTTTTTTTTTTAAATTTTTTAATTTTAATTTTTTAT
Organism: Homo sapiens; assembly: GCF_000001405.40. Lineage (NCBI taxonomy): Eukaryota > Metazoa > Chordata > Mammalia > Primates > Hominidae > Homo > Homo sapiens. The sequence continues at coordinate 56,306,635 of NC_000010.11, read as the reverse complement.
TTTTTATTTATTTATTTTTTTGAGACAGAGTCTTGCTCTTTCACCCAGGCTGGAGGCACACTGCAACATCCACCTCCCAGGTTCACATGTTTCTTCTGCCTCAACCTCCTGAGTAGCTGAGATTATAGGTGTGTGCCACCACACCTGGTTAATTTTTTTATTTTTAATAGAGACAGGTTTCACTCGTTGGTCAGGCTGGTCTCAAATTCTTGGTCACAAGTGGTCCACCTGCTTTGGCCTCCCAAAGTACTAGGATTACAGAAGTGAGCCACCAAGCCCCCTATTCTTTGATCATTCAAAACACATCCTTATGTTGTACTTCTAATTGTTGGCCAGTGAGGATGGATCAAAAGTTGATTGTCGCTCAAATTTTATGGAATAGTGATATCTTGCATTAATGTTCACTTTGAAAATTGATTAGCATCACTAGCTTCCACAGGGAGTTAGGATAAAGCATTATAAACAGGAAAGACTGTAGGGAAATCATATACCCCCTACTCTTTTTCATTTTTTTGAAGCCTCTCTTAATATGTCTTTGGTCTCAGGAAAAAAAAGCTCTTAACAGATTACAAATAGCAAACTAGTAGACCAACAAAGATGAAGATTAGGCCATTCTCGTCATGCAGAAAGGTAGATGCTAAATTTTAATTATTTCATTCCATATGTTTCCTAAACATGATAAATTATATCTTGTACATATATTTTACCTTCATCAGACTATAAGATTTTCAAGATTAGAATCCTTTTCTAGTACTTTTAAATATTTTTCTCATAAATTAGCATAATTTTGTACACATACACAATTTTGTTAACAGATTTTAGAATGTTGAAGGTTTTGATAATGCACCAGGCACCCTTTAAAGACTTTCAAATTTTGAAAATACAATTATATTCCTGCTTTTACATGAGGAAACTGAGAATCAGAAAAATTATGTAGCATTTTCAATGTTATACAGCAAGTGAATATTGAATTCAAAATGTAAAGTTATGTCCATTTGACTCTAAAAGTCATTCTATTAATCAATTTGATGAAGCTTTGATAAGCCTATTTAATAAATATTTATTAATTGTTACTTGATGCATTACCAAGCACATTTTAAACTTATTTTTGGCTCCCATGAAAGACTCAAAGATATGATTTTAGAAAATTATAATTTAAGTAATACACATGCCTGTCAGATCACCTTACACTGAATTTCTTTTCAGCATGCTGTATCCTTTAGGAATGTATTTCGAATGCTATAATCTTTAGCCCTGGGTTTCCACAAATGACCCACATTTTGAAAATGTTCAATCGATGTGTTTGGGGCAGTAACATTTTACTTATTTAGAGGTTATGTCCTTGTAACCTGAAACTTATAAAAAATAAGAAATGATTAAAAAGAAACTCAAATTTGCCAGAGTAATTATTTTAGGATTAACATTTGTGAAATTGATTAAGAGTGAGCATGAAGATCAATATTATGTAACTGTTTAGCATTTTGCTGAATCACAAAATGTAAAAAAAGATCAATATGTAAAGTAAGAGGCAGAGCAACAGAAAAAATCCAGGCACAGCTCACATCTGCAACTCAGGGCTGCACTGTTTCTCTTAATTTACTATGTATGGAAAAAATGATCTAGATTATAGCCTATCACATTAGATATATTAACATTTATCACAGTGGTGACGAATAATAAGAATCACAATTGTATTAAGATCTGTTCCCTGAAAGCATCAAGAATCTACTATAATGTGTTCTCCATTGAAAGTAACTTAAAATTGTTAAAGAAGTTGACTTTAAATATTTTACCTTCAATTACATACAAAGTTCACACTACTGATTAACTCATTATTCAGAAATGAAAGATAATCAATGAATAGACTATATTTTAGATAGCCATTTATACATAGCAATCTCTTTAAAAATTTCAATAACTATTTTCTAGGAATAATAAAAAATTATGAATTCTGGATTTATCTGAAAATAAAATTATAGGCACATGCATGTGTAAATACATAATATAGACATATACAAACATACACATATAAATACATAAATAAAATAAATTCATAATAAATATTCTGAAAAAATTTTACAACTCAAACTGAGCTGATTATTCTCTTTTCTAAAGAGGATATGATAGATGTCTCTAAAGACTACAAGAAATCTGGTGTCCAGATGCAGCTTCTTATTGCTAAATGTAAAACCTCCCTTTGACAGCTGGTGACTGCAAATGAGTTTAGGAAGCGGATGATGGCAATAAGTTAACTGAGAACAGAAATCCTCATAATAACCAGCTACCCTAACTGCTTATATCAGACTCTATCACCCACTGGGCTTCCAAGCATGACAAAAACTTCTTTCAAGAAATTTCATTTTTTGAATTCAAACTAAATGCCATGCAATTTATTGGATTTTTTTGGAATTAGGCTTCATCTGAAACACTAGGTGTTTCTCATAAAGATATCATTGTGGCTGCTAGATGACTATGAAATGTAGCTCAGAAAGGACATTATGAAACATAGCTCAGAAAGGAAACCTACACTCTTTCTCAGATACTCCAGGCTACACATATTTGACAGTAGCACTTACTTATATTATACAAAGTACACTTTGATTTGGTTTTCCTTGAATTGTTTCATTTTTTAGTTAGTTATGAATAGACTGTGGGTGAGTGTATGTGTGTGTGTCTTAATATGTGCTGCAAGTAGAGCCATCTGGGGATTGTGGGGCTGCCAGAAGTTCACTTAATATACCTTCCTCTGAGTTCAGAATTAGTAGGCAATATTGATATGGGAAGTTGAGTACAAATCTAGAATCTAGATCTATAATCTAGAATCTAGAATATAGATCTAGAATCTACAATCTAGGCAACAAGCTGAATGCCTAATAGACTGCCTTTAGTAATTAGCTACACTTCCATTTTTCTGCCACCATTTCCATCTATAAATGAGAAAATGTTTTATCTTCTATAAAATGAGTATATTGGACTCAACGGTACCGAGTTTAAATAAGTACTTATTTAAATTAAATAAGTAATACCACCTCAAAGTAGGTATTCCATTCTAGTTTAGGAGAGTAACAAGTAAGAGTCAGGTAAAGCATAGGCACCATGAGGACAAGAATACATTCATTTACTTTTCATGTTCCCCTCAGCACTGGTTAACATGACCTGCATATCCTCTTGGGAGGTTCATTCATATCTGTTGGCCTGTTAATCCAGTGCTGGAGATATGATTGATGAATAGACATAAAAAGTCTACCTATGACTTTCTTTTATGTGTTACATCTACAACAAACTAAACTGAACTCTCTTAAATATATAAGCTTTAACCACAAGAAATGTGAAAGTGGAAAAATAAAAAGATGCAAAGACACAATAGTGATAATTTGAAAATAATCTTAGCCACAATCCAGAAGGTATGTATATCTACATATATTTTTAATGTATTTTACCCTAGTCGCCCAGGAAAATACTTCACACAATAAAAGATGCTCAAGAAATTTTCATTGGCTTGATTTTTTTTTAATTTAAGCAGTTGATAATGGCAATTGTATTAATGAGGTCAGTTATTGAAGCAATACTTACCTCCTAAAAGTTTATATAATCTACATGTGGATAACTATTTAATCTTTTTGGAATTAGGCTTCATCTGAAGGTATCTTGTCATTTGCAGATGCTATTGGTGTCCTCCAGTCTTGCATTATTATGTATGCAACACAGCCTAGAGGACAGAGGACTGGAAAAACAGCAAGAATTATGTTAACTGTAAAAGAGCACTACCAACTTCCCTGCATAGCTTTGATGCACAAAGTTGTCATTCTTCCAACCTACTAACAGAAACAGCAGTACATATAGGTAGAACAAGTATAAAAAATGCCTATAGGGATAACAGAATGCAGCAATATAAGAACTCTTTTCTAAAGAGCCTGTGAGCTGGTACACTCAATAGAAAACTCTTGGAATTTTTTGGTAGAATCATAAATGTACAAAACATCTTAAATAGATTAAAAGTATAAAATAGTAAGGTAAATATGAATGGCAGTATTTCATAAGTATAGGTCTAACTCTGACTTGTTCCTTGAACAAAGACTCCTTAATAAGTACTACATACATTAAGAAATGAAAACAGGAAAAATCTCATGTATGCATATTTTTTAATTATAAAGAGTGACAGTTGATATTACAGTAATTATTCAGATATCTACAAAATTCTGGAGTACCTTGGGAAAACTTAAAAACGGGAGTAAGCTGGATTTCATTACATTTCTGAATTAAGTGTATTTTGTTAAATGCTAATATTTTGATGACTAGCACACCATAGGAATGTTGAATGTAGAAAATGTTTATTGATCATCTTATCTGAATAAGACAATGTGCTAGGTGATTTGGGGAGAAAAGATAAAAGGTACATCCAAGTTTCTTATAATGTATTAGTGGAGCTAACAGAAAACACAACTATTTTATAGATTCCCTTACTAGTAATAATTTGAAATATTCTTACATTTAAATAAAATTTCAAAGTTGGATATTGATAAATCTCATTTTTGGGTGATGAAAGAGAATTTTAGATAATTTTCCTAAACAGAGAATTAGTCTCAAAAAGTGAAAAGTAATCTTCACTGACTTCCTATTGCTTTTAGAATTAATTATAGATTTTCCTACTTGTTCCTAAAAGCATTATACATCATGACCCAAATCTATTTACATACTACCATTATTTCTCAATACTGTATATGTAAATGCCTAATAAAATAGAATTTATATTTCTATTCCCTAACCACAATCTGTGCCTTCCTGACTTAGTACCTTGGTTTATGTCCTATAATATCATTCACACTACTAAAAAATTTATCTCTCTTTTAAGGCTTAAGTCAATGTCCATCAGCTGCATTAATATTATTTTGGTTTCTTTTCAGAGTAGTATTGATACTTTGCTTTAATCTCTCTTTCAAAGTACCAATTATGCAAAATGAAAACACCTGGCATGATACAAAGCCCTATATGAATACTGGTTTTTCTTATTTCCTGTCTTTTTTTTCTGACTCTTCAAATATTTGATAAAGTAGATCACAAGGTATCAAACTGTTGCTTGGCAGTAGGCATCCTCAAAGAACTCAGTCAGCATCAAATGACATAGAGTGATAAGTAAACTGATGTTTACAGTATAGAAGTAAAAGGACTATGAGAGTAGTAGGAGAAGGAGCAAACATATTGAAACATAAAACACAGACTTGTGAAACAAAAATGTCTTCCAAAATTCAAGTACTGAAGTATACCTGAAAAAAATAATGTGTTTGAAGGAATGATAGAAGATGAGTCTAAAAAGAATAAAAGAAAATTACGAACTGTTATGTGTGATAAACAAATATCTATGAATCTTATTCTGAAAGCTATAATTAACGTGGAAAGGTTATAAGCAGAAGATTAGATGTGCATCACAGAAGGACTATTGTGGGATCAGTGTGAGTCATAGTTGAAGATCAGACCGTCTTCTATAGAAAGGGTCAAGTGATTAGGTTAGCCCTACTCATATAATTTCCTCCTTTTAACATTAATTGGCAAATGACCTTAATTACATCTGGAAAATCATTTTTGCCAAGTGCAATAACATAAGGGAGAAATGCCAGGGTGTGCAAATCACGAGAGACATTTTAGAATTTTGCCTGCCACAAAAAAGGGATGTTAATTGCCATACATAGTTACCATAACATAGTGTAATTTAGATGTAAAGAAAATGAAAATTAACCAACCAATGATTTCCAAAGATACTTTTTACTGTAAAAATATGTTCTCATTGTAGTTGTAACAGGTTCTCTCATTTGCTATGGATCCACCTTTAGATGCAGCATATACATATCTAAATAAAACACATTATAATTTTTTTTATGTATTTATCCTTGAAGACTGCTATCATTTGGGATGACTATATATATGTTTTTATTTTTATTATTTTTGCCAGTAAAATTATGGACCTTCTTTTCAACCATCAGGATAAGAGCTAATATGAAGTCTTTAATAGTTAAAAGTAATAAAAAAATTCTATTTTTATAACCTATTTTATTAGTAGTTCTAAATATGAGTATTACATATTCAAACATTTAAAGATAACTTGTGGCTTAATTTATGTGACAGGTAAGAGATCTGGAATACATGGATTTATTTTATGCAATAAAACAAAATATGCAATATATTTTGTTTTGTAAGTACCCTAATGCCTCGAAGTGTATCTTATCAAGGCCAGACAAGTGCTCAGAATAAATATTACTTAGTACAAAGGTATTATTATGTTATTCATAATAATAGCTTTGCATTTTCAAAACTAATTCTATATACACACATATACTGATCCTATAGTCATATCATTAAATCAGTTTACTTTTTTCCCAGTTTTTTCAATCCATTTAGGTCAGAGCTCTGCAGGGGTACCATATCACAGAATTTAGACAATATATTTGCATAGTAATGTCATATTATTTTATTTGGAATTGCATGAGATGTTTTCACAGTCAAGTGAATTGTTGGATTAGTAACTTGAGCTCACTCTAAATCAGAGAGTTGAGGATCATATTTAGAGAGTAATGAGTTTAAAACACAATCTTTGTTTGTATAACTAGCCACCCTTTTATAAAAGAACTAACCAAGTAAAGTTGATCCTATTAATCAATCAACAATAGCAATAGGAAAAATCAATTTCTGAAGCTGGCTCAGTTGCTCTTTTTTTGATCAAGATAGTTGTAACCCTGTTTCTTTTACTTCCTTAACCCTACCTATTTTACCCCCCCCCCACACACACACATTATATTGCTTATAACAATTAACTTAAGAATAGAACTAGGAACTTTGAAGAACAGTCACTAATACATGCTACACTGGATATAAGAGGCTTTTAAAATTTGTTTGTTTATTGAGCAAATATTGACTACAGATTTTCTGTAAATCATTATGGGCAAGTATGGCAATATTTAGAATTAGTTTGCAGACCCTCACTTAAAATAGACAAATAAACTCAGGATTTTGTGACCCAGAAAATCTGAAAACAAAATGCATTATATTGGAAAGACATGTATTTCATAAAAGGAACAATGTAGAAATGAACATAAATCCATTATATTTAACAATAGAACTAGTTATTCAGTTACTTAACCCTTTGTAAAATCATTATAGAAGCATAATTTAAAGAAACACAGTACCTACCTTAGAAGCAAAGAACGCCTAGTGAACTTCAACCAGTCTCTTAATTCATGTCTTCCAAAATAATTGGAACCCTACATATCAGTGGTCCCCAATCTTTTTGGCACCAGGTTTTGTGGGGATAGTTTTTCCACAGACAGAGTCGGGGGTAGTTTCGGGATGAAACTATTTCACCTCAGATCATCAGGCATTAGTTAGATTCTGATAAGGAGAGTGCAACCTAGATGCCTCTCACGCACAGTTCCCAATAGGATTCTTGCTCCTGTGAGAATCTAATGCCCAGCTGATCTGACCGGAGGCGGAGCTCAGGCGGTAATGCTAGTTAAACTGCAACTCACCTCCTGCTGTGCAGCCCACTTCCTAACAGGCCACAGAAAGCTACCAGTCTGCAGCGTGGTACCAGTCTGTGGCCCAGGGGTTGGGGACACCTACTATATATTGTAAGGAAATTTGAAGATTTTTAAAATCAATATTCCTAATTTGGTTATAAAAATGTGTATGCTTGGGAAATGTTTTCAAACAATTAATATTAAATAGAGAAGGAGTTTTATTGAAAACTGAGGCAATCCAAAAGACTTTTAATTTCTTTTGTAAACTTAAGAAGAAAAAAGTACCAGTATCGTCCATATAACATTCCTCAGAGTATAAGAGCCTATAGGGAGGTAGCTTGGGACAAAGAAAGAAACACGGCACAGGCAGTACAAGCTAAACTCCAACAACTAGGAGCTGCGTGAACTTTGGCAAGTTACCTCTCCTCTCTGAACCACAACTCATTCATCTATTAAAAAGACTGATTTTTTAAATATATATGTATTTATTAAATATGTTGGAGTTTTAAAGGTCAGGATTTATATAATGATCCAGTGAAGTACTTACAGAAGAGGAAGTAAACATCAGAGTCCTCTTTGGTGTCAAAAATTACTTCCGTATAATTTCACATAACTAATGGAGACTCTATCTGAGCTCAAAAGACACAAAGAGCAAGTCCTCAATAATTTGAAGAGAGCTGTGATCTTCAAATCCATTGTTGTGTATTTTCACCCCCAACCTATACCTCTTCCATTTCTTTAACAATTGAATTGTTTTAAGATATTCGACAATTAACTCTCTTCACTACATTTCTTTAGTTTGTCTCAGAATAAGAGCTAAAAGTGAACATCATACTTAAGACATGATTTGACTAGTAAAATTTGAGGAGTCTACCTTTCTGTTCTTAGGACAGAATACTTTCATTAAAGATAGAGGACAGGAGTGGTGAAGATACTTTATCTATCAATGTGACTCATATTGAGTTTGTCCAAATCTTCACATTCTTTTCAAATGTGCTGTTTTTTATGAAATGTTTCAATCTATTCACATTTTCCGTATCATATTTAGAGTTGTATAATTCACCTAGTCTTCAATACCAGTATCTATAGAATAATATTTACTAATGATGCTTATTGCACTTCAGATAAAAACATCAAGTAAAGCAAAGAAGAATTAACTTATGTGATTCAACATAACGATCCTATTCAAGAAGAGAATGATAGACATATTAAAATAAGATAGTGCTTTGATTTTTACATAAAAACTCAAGTACTTCAGACACATGATTTTTTCATAGGTAACACTGATGTCTATAAACAACAAAAACTACAAGCCCCTGGGTATTGATGGCATTATCTTGCATACAAAACTATTGCTATGGAAACAAAGTTAAAATTATTCTAAAAATGTTATGCTGACTTTTAGTCAGCTCAAATAAGCTCTTGTGACCAACTGATTTAGAAACAAATTGCTAGATAGTCTTCCAATTGAGAGTAATTTAACAGACTTCATAATTAAGGTAGATGTGTCTCTCATTTGTGTCAACATTGGACACTTAAGATTTAAATTTAATTTAAAATTTCTCCATTATTTCTAAGCAGTCAATGATTTTGATCTACTGTTGCTATTAAAATACATGAGATTAACTCTAAAGAGGTTTGTATAAATTACTAAAAAAATAATATTACTAAGGGGAAAATATTAAGGCCCTAAATCTGAGAAATGGAGTAAAATTAATGACTAGATGATGTCTTTTAGTGCAGTATTTTTACCTAACATTTTATTCCTAACAATCATAAACAAATAATTTGGGACCAGACTTATTAACTGTCAGTGATTATCTTGGAAAATATGAAACAATATGATAAAGTTAAGAGCTTAAACCCTGGAGTTTGATGTTCGGATTCCAAACCCGCTGTAGCATTATTAGCCACATAAGTGATTGAATTCATCTGTGCCTTAGCTTTCTCACTGGTAAAATATGAATTATAGTAATCACTATGTTATATGATTAAAGTAATAAGAAATAGATGAGATTGTGGTTTTAATATTACTCAGTACAGCATTTGACACCTTAATAATGATGGCTATGGGAGAAAATAAAATCTCTCAAAATGAGAAAAAATAATTTTTACATCCTTAACCACCCACTCAATAACAAGTAATATCATAGGACAAATAAATTACTGGGGAACACTGTTGGCATCCTGAAGGCAAAGTTAAAGAAACAGAGATGGCAGAACAGATCCCACAGTAGTTAGCCTTATATGGACTCTGAGAGTTAGGGAGCTGTGGTGCTTGCCTATGCTGTAGTGTTCTGGGCTAGCCCAAGGCAGAGAGGTCTTATGCAAATATCAGCCTTGACACAGCAACAATGGTGATTTATTTTGAAACCTGTAGATTTATTGCATTGCGGAAGACAAGCTCCCAAGGCTAAGGATGAGAAATTCTTGTCTATTTTCTTTTTTTTTTCCAAGTAAAAAATACCTCCCTGGAAGCCCAGAAATCAGTCTGTAATTGCCAGCCTATAGTATCACCTACTTATGTTACCTATTTACTTCACATTTTACTGTTTACACATATCTTTGATACTCTGTTTCATTTTATATTTATGATAAATAATTGTAAGAATTTTACAAAGAAATAGTTATTATCTCCAATCTTTAGAGAAGGAAAATGAAGTTTAGGATATCTTATTTATTTATTCCAGATAGCGAATAAGTAATAGGGCCAAGATAAGACCTTCTAATCCCATTTTATTTAACGATTTCTCATAATGGCTGAAGCTAGTCAAGTAATGCACTGACTAGCTTTAGCAGGAGCAGGAAAATAATTTAACTTATTGTATTATTATATTAAAAGACATTGGTGGGGTAGAATATAAAGATTATTGCATAGTAAGTTAGTGAAGGATGACTAGGGCAGGAAATTAGGAAAATAATAGAAACTATGTATCTTAATGTCTGCAAATTCCCAGTGGCCTACTGAGTTACTGATAATAGCAAGAGGAGACTTGGCATCTAGAAGAGGTACTAAAGATATACTAGAATAGGGCATATCTCAGGTGGTGTGTATTCCAAAACAAATTACTTCCATTATATTTTCTTCGGGTCCAGTATTTACGGCATTTTCATATGTTATTTTAAATTCAGGGATTAGTTATCTTGAGTCAATAGCTCATAAAGGCTGTTATATGACCTTATAACATATCTGGTAGAAATGTGACTTTTTTTCTTTTTTTACATTTAAAAAGAGAGGAAAAAGTGAAAATATTCTAGTATTTTGTTTGTGCTGATGCCTAGCTGGGGTTTAGTGAGGTGGCCTTTTTATAGGCTGTAGTAAACTTTCCATGCTGTCCAAGTGGATTCATGTTTCTCTCAATTACAAAGGGCAATTATAATATACTTATATGTGTGTTGAAATCTGATGCTCCATAAATATAAAATCTCGTTCTTTCATGAGACTGATTGAAATCTCAGTGCTGACTGAGCAAGTAACACCTAGATTGCCCTCTCATTGCTTGGATCATATGGACAAGGCAAGCCATCCATCAACACAGACTGGCACAGAGGAAAGGATATTGTTTCTGATGTGAAGGCTACCACTGCATGCCAGCGTTGGCTTATGAAATTAGCTAAGAATAGGAGTCTACAATGAAATACAGCAGTTTTTTCCCCTATAAGACATTACAGACATTTGTTTAACGTCTGCTAAATGATGTTTACCCCAGTCTACTAAGGCTCATCATTAGCTCTTCACGATGACCTAGTCACCTTCCTTATAAGGGGAAAATGAGAGGTAAAATGTACAGTGAACATTTAACCACCAGAAGCTAGGAGAGGGGTATGAAACAGATTTTCCTCACACCTTTCAGAAGGAACCAACCCTGCCAATTCCTCAATCTTAGAATTCTAACCTTCAGAAATGTGAGAATAAATTTCTGTTGTTTAAGCTACCCAGTTTGTGGACTTCCGTACTGCAGCACTAGCAAACTACACACTGACCAAGAAATGAAAAAAAAAGAAAGTAATATGACAATTACCCAAAAATGTGAGCCAAAGACCACTTAAAAATTCTAGAAATTTAAGGCAGACAGCACTTCCCCATACTGTATAATTGGGAATTTTAATTGTCTTTATTTTTATCATTTATTGAAAGATGTTATGTTACTGTGTTAACTTTTAAAAAAATAGCATAAATATATATTTCATTTAGTATAATACCTAGGGTTACACACTTCTAGAGTAAAACTATAAGAACATGGATGAGCTGTATTGATACCTACTTGTGTTAACTATATGCACATTGTTTTCCAACAGATCTTTAGAAATTTTTCATCTCAGAAATGTGAAATTCTATATTTGTTGAACAATAACTCACTTTGGTACTTTTATTATCTTTTATATACTTATGGTAAGAAAATAATCACATATTAAATATGGGTTTTTTTACTTTTAGAAGACAAAAGATATTTTTATTAATAATATATATGTAGGGAGCCAGATAGGATCCCATGTGGGATAGTGGTAGTAGAAATGTTTCATGAATTGATGGTGTTAGACCTATGACTTCATACACAGTTATGAATAATAACTAGGTTTTTCTTCTTAAGAGTATGTCATAGAACTTGCCCATCACTATAGGTTTTATTATTTTCCCGTCGAGTGTCCCAAAGTTACACAGAGTGCCAATAAGACCTCTCTTCTTTTATGACACTGAGATACATAGGAAACAACAGGAGAATAAATTCCATTTGTGGCTAATGGGATGTTCAAGATGTCTCTTTTGAAGATAAGAATGTTATTTATGAGATCCATAAATCAGAGCTCAAATCTGCTCATTTTTAGGGGGATGTTAACAGAAAGAATTAGGTAACTCATTTAGGATACATGCCTTTCTTCTCAGGTGGCCCAAGGTCTAAATTCTGCATAATTGTTGTACAAAAGGCCTGTTACTTCACAAAACAAATTCGTATTTTTCCTGTTAATCCTAAAAGCAAAAGATCCTGCACAGACACAAACAATTCAAAGACAAAGAATGCGAGTATGGCTTTACAGGCCTTAGAATAAAGGAGATTCATTCCCTACAGTGTCAGATCCAATGTGTCATGCCTTCTTTTAATGGCTCTGTTCCAACCACTCCCTCTGAAGCAAATACAATGATAGCCCATTTATAGGAGCTCACCTTGCAAAATAATTGACTTTTCTAATTGGAATCAAGGAAGCACTTATGATATACATATACATAGATATACATTGTCTTCTTTCTGGTGATGCTTGGGGTTTTTTTGTTTTTGTTTTTGTTTTTAACAGAATCTCAGTCTGTTGCCCAGGCTGCAGTGCAATGGCGTGATCTTGGGTCACTGCAACCTCCGCCTCCTGGGTTCAGGCAATTCTCTTGCCTTGGCCTTCCAAGTAACTGGGATTACAGGCGCCAGCCACCACACCTGGCTAATTTTTTTGTATTTTTAGTAGAGACAGCGTTTTGCCATGTTGGCCAGGCTGGTCTTGAACTCCTGACCTTGGGTATCCACCTGTGTCAGCCTCCCAAAGTGCTGGGATTACAGGTGTGAGCCAACACACCCGGCCTGGTGATGCTCACTTTTTAAGGAACTAGAAATAATATGTTCTTGGAACTATCCCGATAATCATATTCATTCTTTCCAGTACCACCAAATAATGTTTCTGTCTTCATTATTGAAAAAGGCATTGTTGAAAAAAATTCAAAGTAAATATTTTATTATTTAAAAATACTTCATTACCGATGTAATATGAAAAAAAAATCTCCAAACCTTTTTTCTTAAAATAGAAGTAATATTTATAGACATTAAAAACTAAAAATTATAACCGTTTACAAGAAAGTAGATGACGTTTTGAAATATTTGTAGAGGGATTTAAAGATTTTTATAAGTGTTACCTGGAAACTTTATGGGAAGTATTTGCTAAAGCAAATGTAGTTCCCTGGCTGTTGAATTTTTGCAATTTTAATTTTAAATTCAGGTAATCGTTATAAAAAGATTTTTTTATCTAACTAACATAGAGTATTTTAATTTACAAATTTCAAATATTTAAACTTTTGTTTTATGTATAAGATTGGTATTATAAGAAAGGCTAACTTTGAAAAACATAATTTTACTTCAGTAAATAGCAATGTTAAAATTAAATTTACTGGACACATCATAATAATGCTTATAATAGCCCATAAGCCTTACAATAAGACACTGGAAATTAGGACTCTGAGGTTGTTAGTGTTAAAAAGAAAGGAAAAGAAAACCTCTAATAAATCAGAGAGATTCAGAAAAAATAAATATAGTGTGTGGAATGCATAAAAGAATTCAAAATAATGATATTTAAAAACTCAGTAAGATACAGAATAAAAGATAAACATTTCAAATAAATCAGAAAAGGAATTCAGGATATGAATGGGAAATTTGTCAAAGAGATGTCATGAAAAACTAAAAAAGAAAATTTGAAACTAAAGAATTCATTGGAAGAAATTAAAAATACACTTGAAAACTTCCACAGCATACTAGATCAAGCATAAGAAATAATCTCAGACCTTCAGAACTGGTCTTTTGATATTGCTTAGTCAGAAAAAAATAAAGAAAAAAATAACAAAGCCTACATTAAATATGAGATATTATAAAGTGAACAAATATTTATGGTGTCTCAGAGGCAAAGAAACAATTAAAGGGATAGAAAACTTGTATTACAAAATAATAGCAGAAAACTTCACAAGTCTAACATGAGATTTAGACATCCAGATACAGAAAGGGCAGATATCTCCAAATAGATAAAATTCAAGAATGTCTACTTCACGGCATTTTATAATCAAACTGTCAAAAATCAATGACAGATAATTCTAAAAGCAGCAAGAAAAAGTGTCTAATCACTGATAAAGAAACTCCCATCAGATGAATGGCAGATTTCTCAGCAGAAAAGCTACAGGCCAGGTAAGAATAAAATAATATATTTCAAGTACTAACATTTTAGAACAACTAGTTAAGAATACTATGCCCAACAAAGTTATTCTTTATGAATGGAGGGAAGATAAATTATTTCCCAGACATGTAAAACCTGAGTTAATTCATACTAGACTAATAGCACAAGAAATGCTTAGATGAGTTGTAACCTAGAAGGAAAAAGATGCTATCTAATACCATGGCAACACACAAATGTATAAAATCGACTGATGGAGAAAACATACAAGTAAGGAAGAGAAACAACTCAAATGTCCCCACTAAAGGAAACCACCAAACAACAATAACAAACAATAAGAGAGAGAAAAAACAAAGGCTATACAAAACAACCTGAAATCAATTAATAAAATGACAGTAATAAGCCATTACATATCAACAACAACCTTGAATGTAAATGGATTAAAATTTCCCCTTAAAAGTTATAGACTTGCTGAATGGATTTAAAAAAAATGACCCAACTATATGATTCCTATAAGAAACCTGTCTCACTTGTAAAGAAACACATAGACTGAAAGTAAAGGGGTGGAAAAAGACATTTCATGCAACAGAAAACAAGAATAAACAGGAGTAGCTATACATGTAAGACAGACTTTAAGTCAAAACAGTAAATAAAGATAAAGAATGTCATGATATAATGATAAAGAGATCAACTTAGCAAGAAGATATAACAATTCCAAATGTATATGCACCTAATACTGAAGCACCTAGATATATAAGGCAGATATTATTAGACCTCAAGGGAGACTCCAATATAATAATACTTGAATACTTCAGCACTTCACTCTCAGCATTAGACAAACCATCTAGACAGAAAATTAAGAAAGAAACACTGGATTTAAACTGCACGTTAGACCAAATAGACCTAGGAGATATTTACAGAACTTTCTTTTCAAGACCTCAGAACACACATTCTTCTCCTTAGCACATGGGACATTTTCCAGAATATGCCATATGTTAGAGAGTTCAATACCAAGAGGAACTTTGGAAACTTATCAAATACATAAAAATCAAACAACATGCTTCTGAATGACTATTGGGTTAAGGAAGAAATTAAGAAGGAAATATTCCTTGAAACTGAAAATGGAAACACAAAATACAAAATATTAAAACTTACTGGACACAGCAAAGGCAATGCCAATATGAGAGTTCACAGCAATAAATGTCTACGTCATAAAAGTAGAAAGATTTCAAAGAAACAATCTAAGTGCATCTCAAGGAACTACAAAAGCACAAACTCAAAATTAGTAGTAGGAAACAACAAAGTTCAGGGCAGTACAAAATAAAGTAGAGACTAAAAAATTAATACAAACGATCAAGAAAATAAAAAGGGTTTTTTTAAAGATAAACAAAATCAATAAACCACTAGCTAGTCTGATGAAGAAAAAAAGATAAAAGATCCAAATAAAATTAGAAATGAAAAAGGAGACATTACAATGGGTATCACAGAAATACAAAAGCTCATTAGAGACTATTTTGAACAAGTATATACTAAAAAACTGGAAGTCCCAGAGGAAATGGATAAGTTCCTGGTCACATTCAATCTACCAAGAAGGAATCTGAAAGAAATAGAGAGCTGAACATACCAAAATAAGTAACAAGTTTGAACAGCAGTAAAATGTCTCCCAACAAAGAGAAGCCCAGGACTTGATGGCCTCACTGCCTAATCCTACCAAACTTTAACAGAAGAATTTATACGAATTCTCAAACTATTCCAATAAGTAGAAGAAGACAGAATTCTTCCAAATCATTCTATGATGCTAGCATTTCCCTGATACCAAAATCAGACAAGAACTCAACAAAAAAGGAAAACCGCAGGCCAACATTTATAATGAGGACAGACAGAAAAGTTCTCAACAAAATAGTAGGAAACCATATACAGCAGTATATCAAGAAATCATTTATCGTGATAAAGTAGGATTTATCCCAGGGATGAAAGATTAGTTCAACATACACAAATTAATAGACATAATAGAATGAAAGACAGTCATCAATAAAATGAAAGACAAAAAACTATCATCTCAATAGATGCAGAAAAATCATTTCATAACATTCAACATTCTTTTATGATAAAAATGCTCAAGTATCTCAGCATAGAAAAAAAATCTCAATATAATAAAGGCCATATATGATAAACCTACAGCTAACATTATACTGAATTGGAAAAAGCTTAAGGCCTTTCGTCTAAGAACTAGAACAAGACAAGAATGCCATTACTACTCAACATAGTAATGGAAGTCAGAACAATCAAGCAAGAGAAATAAATAAAAAGCATCCAAATTGGAAAATAGGAAATCAAGGTGTCCTTCTTTGCAGATGACCTGATCTTATATCTAGGAAAGTCTAGACTCCACTAGAAAACTTTTACAACTGAAAAACAAATTTAGTAAAGTCACAGGATACAAAATCAACGTGCGAAAATCAGTGCCATTTCTATACACCAATGACAAACTAGCTGAAAAAAAACAAAAAAACAAAAAGGTAGTACCATTTGCAATAGCTACCACTAAATAAAATACCAAGAAAAAGATTTTACCAAGGAGGTAAAATACCTTTACAAGGAAAACTATAAATCACTAATGAAAGAAACTGGAGATGACACAAAAAGCGAAAAGACATACCATGCTCATATATCAGAATAATTAATGTAGTAAAAATAGTCATACTTCTCAAAGAAATCTATAGATTCAATGCAATTCCTATCAAAATACCAATGCCATTCTTCACAGAATTGGAACAAACAAAACAATCCTAAAATGAAAAAGAAGAGCATAAATAGCCAAGTCAATCCTGAGCGAAAGGAACAAAGCTAGAGGCATCACACTATCTGACTTCAAAATATATTGCAACGCTATAGGAACCAAAATAGCATAGTATTGGTATAAAAACAGACACAAACTAATGGAACAAAATAGAAAACCGGGAAATAAACCAGAGGTTTAAAAGCCAACTAATTTACAACTAAGGCACCAAGGACATACACTGGGAAAAGGATACTCTCCTCAATAAATGTTACATGAATACCAGCAGCTCGGGATGCTGAAGCAGGCAAATCACTTGAGGTCATGAGTTCAAGACCTGCCTGGCCAACATGTTGAAAACCCAGCTCTACTAAAAGTACAAAAATTAAGCCGGGCTTGGTGGCAGGTGCCTGTAATCCTAGCTACTCGGGAGGCTAAGGCAGAGGTTTCAGTGAGCCGAGATTGTGCCACTGCACTCCAGCCTGGGCGATAGAGCAAGACTCCATCTCAAAAATAAAAATAAATGTTACTTGGAAAACTGGATACCCATATGCATAAGAATGAAACTAGGCTCCTACATTTCACCTATACAAAAACCATATCAAACTGGCTTAAAGACTGAGATATATCACCTGTTAACATTAAAACTACTAGAAGAAAATATAGGGAGAACACTCCAGGACATTGGTCTAAGCAAACATTTTATAGCTAAGATGCCCTAGAACACATACAAACAAACAAAAATAGGCAATTAAAACTATATTAAACTAAAAAGTTACTACACTAGAAAAGAAATAACCAACATAGTAAAGAGACGACCTGTTGAATGGGAGAAAATGTTTGCAAAATATTCATCACCAAAAAACTAATATCCAGAATATACAAAAAACTCAAACAACTCACCAGAAAAATTTCAAACAATCCCATTAAAGAGTCTGCAAGTGATCTAAATACGTATTTCTGAAAAGAATATATACAAATGTCCAACAGGTATATGGAAGATGCTCAACATCAGGAATCATAAAAAAATGGCAAATCAAAACCACAATTTGATATCGTCTTACTCCAGTTAGCATGACCACTACTAAGCATTGCAACAGGAATTGGGCTTTCCCTTCATCTAGTGGTTTATTGTCTTTATTTTCTTGAAATTATGTCCTTAATTATTGAAGAATTTTAAGCTTCACATTGTGTATTCTGAGCTAAAGCAATAGCATTCAGAGTAAAAGACAGGTTGGAGGCTTAGCAGATTCATCACACCCTGGAAGTCTTTAGGTCATTTCTAAGTCAAGACAGGCCCTCACTCCAGAATCAAAGCTCATAACTTAGACTGAAGTGAAAGGGACTCACTTATGTCTCTCATTGGTGAGTATTGGGCAATTTAAGGCAGGGTGCAAAAGTGAAGTAAAACAGGTGGACAAAGTATTAGATAACAGATTGGAGAAATGAAGTTAGTGAATTAAATGAACATGAAGGAAGTGAGCAAGGAACAATACAGGTGGAATTGGCAGTTTGGATTACTTGATACCTCAGCCATGGTCTTCCTGCCCAGAAGATTGTATGCTAGGATTCTACAACATTTTAGACCTCTCCTAATAAGCAACTTACCCATAAGATTTTATGCTAGGAGTCTACAGCATTTTAGACCTCTCCTAATAAGCACTAAGCAACCATTTGAAACAGAAAATAAATTCTAAATCACTGGATAGTGTTGCTCATAAAGCATGTTAAATGAGGCTTTATTGTTAAGAATCAGTTCCAAGATATGAAAGACATTGAGTGGAGATTATTTTTTGCCATGTTCTCACATATACAGTCACAGTCTGAATTCTCAGTTGCATAAAAGCTCCTGGAAAAATTCTCGTCACATTTTATATAAAAATGATTAGCTGCAGAAGACTAAATCTTAATAGCATATTCTCTTTATACAAGTACAGTCCCTGTGACCCTGTTACATTCTGAAGGAAAATTATTTAAATAAAATTTGGGATTTATCTTTTAGCAAACATGGGAAATGACAGAGAAACAAAATAATTATATGCATTTCCTTCAGTGTAAGAACAAAAAATGCTGTAAATATCAACTATAATGACTTCATATTTGGTCATAAATCCCAAGAAATTTGGAAGCACTGTTCAAACAAAATTTTCTGTGTCTCTTTTATCTTACATGAGTAGGCCCTACTTTTGCTATATAGAGTTTATAAAATTTATATATAGTAGCTGTTCACTGAATGGCGTAAGATGAAAAGTATGAATAAATCCAACAAATACATTAATTCAATACATTAGCACAAAATCAATGAGAAATGTAAATTTAAAATATTATAGGTGGGATGTTTCTGACCATTCTGCTGTAAGTGATCAATGAAAGTCGGTTGAGTATCTAAAAATAACAACTAGGATAATACGATACCAACCTGAAACAAAAATGTCTCAATTCATCAGCTATAAATCACTATACATTTTTAAAGCAGATTTTGAAAACGAGTACTAGAAATGGTGAAATTCCATAAACAAATATATATATTTATATATAGTTTTATATATGTATATATAAAAAAATTGAAAAATATCAGGGAAATAAGAAAATTAGAAAATCTTAGGTATTGAGTAAAATATTTAGAAGAAGACCATTTATCTGGAAAATGATGATTTATCTGATAAATCCACTTCTGCAATTTAATTTGGATATGGAAATAGAAAAATATATATATACACATATGAATTAACAACAAAAAGTAAGCCAGGATATGATTTATTAGTTTTATACATTTTAATGATGTAAAGAAGTTAATAACTTGATAATCTTCTTTTGTTTTTATGGAAGCTGTGAGAATTATATAGTTTCAGTCTACTAATATGAACATTGAAAGCTAGCCATTTCTTCTCTAATGCTTTGCTCATATGAAAACATACATGTATATTCAATTTTTTCTGATAGTTTTTCAAAATGGCACATAAGTAAATGTTACTTCTTCTGTGCAAGAAAATTTGTCTAACTCTTTGTCATAGGAATTTTCCAAAAATATTACACCCTTTTTAGACATGTATGACAATGATGCCCTGCTATGTTTATTATTATATTTATGACTCATTATTATGTACATATGTAATTTTGTAACAGTAATAAGTTAAGCAATACCCTGAGAGTAATGTGAGCCATACTGATTAATAACATGCTAAGCAATCTCAAATTACATAGGAATTCTTGTGTCAAAGTTATGTAGAACTTTAGTTTCTTGATTTGCTTTAATAAGTTACTTCATACATTTTTCAATTTCTTTGCTGTTGCATTGAGCTATCTCTCTTTAATTTAGTGAAATTTGAAAACTCAAATATTGAAGTTTAAGAACATTGTATGTAAAGTAAAAGCTAGTCAGTATCCTGTGAAACTTCTATGTTTTACTTGGGGAAAAAAAATTCATTTGCATTTTCCCAGAGGATATTGTCATATAGGGTAGAAGTCTTTCTAGTAAAATAATTTCCTAGGTTTTAGAAGAATTACACACATTTAGTGTGTTAGATAGTGGAAATACCAGTATATACTTACAGATAGGCATTTCAATATTATCAATTTATCTTATAAAACCATTTCTTAAAATTGCTCAGCCATATAGCATGAGAATCTAAGCCTGCTGAATATTTATGACAAGATTTTAATTATATATTCAAATAAAAACAGATTCAATGAATTTATCTCCTAGTAATAAAGAATGTTACCTGCACTTTTACTATAGGTGAATACAAGAATTTCTAATTAATTTAAACAATTTTATTATGTTTAGTGTTAGACTAGGGTAAAAAATAATGATACATTATTTAGTAAATGTCATCATTTGCCAATATTTCATTATTTCATTAATATTTTTACAAAATAGTGTTGAAATATTTTTCTTCAAAATATAGCATATAATCCATTAAATAGGAATATATTTGTCTAATATAAAATATTTCAGCAAACATATTTACAGAAAATATTAAAGGAAGTCACATAAAAAGGCACATAAAATATTTCCTTACAATTATTACAGATGATTTAAAAGATATGTGTATAATAATAAATATAGTATATATGTATATATATTTAATCCAGACAACTGTGAAATAATTAATTCTGCTCAGCAATAAATAAGAATAACGTACTGACATAACAAAATAGATGTCTCTCAAGTACATTATTCTGAGTGAAGAATTTCGGATACAAAACACCAAATACAGTTTGATTCATTTTATATAAATTCTAGAAAGGGCAAAAACAAAGTGCTAGAAAGCAGGGGCCATAGGGCAGGGGTAAAGGACTGACAGAAATGACAGAACTCTTTGGGATGATGGAAATGTTCTACACCAATCATATAAATTAGTCAAATTAAACTTGACAAAAAGTCTTTGAACTGAATTTTCACTTCTACATTCAACACATAGTGTAGCAATTAGAAAGCTAAGTGAGATCATATAAATGAATAAACCTTGACATCATATACTACAACAAGTGTATATCCAGTTTCTTTGTCGTATATATTGCCTTAAATAACTGGTATTGATAAACCATACCAGAGTGTACAATGCACATCATACCCAAAACTAAAGCAATACTCAAGTAAAGCAAGAAAGACCTTTTCTTTATGTCATCATCGTATGGAAAGAAATTTAAAGTTTCTGAATTATGCTATTTCCTGAATATGGCAGGTTTTAGTTTTACCGGTGGCACTTTGGGGAAGACTAAAGAGCAGATAGAACTTTTTAAGCAAAGATACTGCAAAATTTTATTTCAAAAAGGGTGTGATACTATGCTATTAAAATAATTTGTTTCCTATTTCATCATGGTTACTTGATTGCTTAAGAATTGACAGATAAAATATACTAGGGCTATCCAGTAATGTAAGCAGATCTCTAATAAACAAATCATACTGGAAAGCAAAGGTTAATGTAAAGCATAAATAAGAAGGCAAAGTAACACAAAATGTCAGTTGGAGTCTAATAATTGTATAAAAGTTATCAAGCAAGTAGGTGCCCATGAATACTTACCATATGTGCTTGCATTGATTAATGGCAAGATAAATAAAACACATACTTTTTAGTCTAAAAAGCAAAAGGCTCTCAAACTTCACAGACTGAATCTCATAAAGCAGTTTTTAAATATTCTAACATAGCTGAAACTATAGGAAAGAAAACATACTATAGAAATTCTGATTACTAAGATAGAAAGATAACCAGCTGGTACTTACAAATCAATGTGAGTATTGAGAAGAGAAGGAGTAAGATTTGCAACAGCCTAATAAATATATCAGCCAGGTAGTCAAAAACAATGAAATATTGATAACACTGCTTCTCAAAAGTTTAACAGATTATTAAACTAAAAACAATAAATAATTTAGGAGTGTATCATTTTCTAAAATGGACTGATCCCTGAAATTGCTTATTGAATAACACAAAATATTTAAACTTGTTACATGAAGCAACTAAATCAACTACCTCCAAAAAATCTGCTTTTTGCATCTTAATTCTATTTCTGTTACAGTTTTTCTAAAATATGCTTTCACATTATGGGTAAAGCAAATTGCAGCAAAACATGTTTTTTTTTTTTTGGTGAGAAGAAAATACAGATAAAAAAATACTCTCAAACAATAAAAGTTCGAACAAAATAATCTCTACTTACGTAAGCATTCCAAAGAAATTGAAGATGTAGAGATCTAAGTAGGTATTTTGGGGAAAGATATATAACACAGGACTTACATTGCTCAATTGTTGAGTATTTTGATAAGTAGAACATTTTGTAATTACCGACAGAGCTGATATGTGGTGCTGAGTCCTTGGAATTAAATATGCCTTTTAGTGCCCAAGCTGATTTTTGGTTGATGTGTAATGTTGAAGTTAAAGGACATACTCTATGTCAATAACCATTAAGATAGTAACAAGATGAGAAAGAAAATCTATACAGTCAATTACTGTAATATAATTTCATTGTTAATGCTAGATTGCCTGAAAAATCATTGAACAAACAACAAGAGACACAGCAAATTTTCTTTATGGCATATGCTATGTGATCTCTTATCTGTTGTAACGGAGTTGTTATACATTATACCTTAATAGAGTTGCTCTTTCTAGAAAATAAAGAAGACAGTCGACAATAACATGACAAAAGCTCAACATCACTGATCATTAGAGAAATGCAAATCAAAACCATAATGAGATACCATCTCACACCAGTCAGAATGACTATTATTAAAAAGTCAAAAAATAACAGATGCTGGTGAGGTTGTGAAGAAAAAGGAATGCTTATGTTGGTGGGAGTGTAAATTAGTTCAGTCATTATGGAAGACTGTGACAGTGTGGTGATTCCTCAAAGACCTAAAGATAGAAATACTGGCCAGGCACCGTGGCTCACACCTGTAATCCAAGCACTTTGGGAGGCCAAGGTGGGTGGATCACCTGAGGTCAGGAGTTCAAGACCAGCCTGGCCAACATGGTGAAACCCTGTCTCAACTAAAAATACAAAAAAATTAGCTGGGCATGGTGGCAGGCGCCTGTAATCTCAGCTACTTTGGGAGGCGGAGGTAGGATAATCGCTTGAACCTGGGAGGCAGAGGTTGCGGTGAGTTGAGATTGCACCATTGCACTCCAGCCTGGGCAACAAGAGCAAAACTCTGTCTCAAACAACAATAACAACAAGAAATACCATTCAACCCAGCAATCTCATTACTGGATATATGCCCAAAGGAATATAAATCATTCTATTGTAAAGACAAATGCACACACATGTTTGTTGCCATACTATTCACAATAGCAAAGACATAGAATTAACCTAAATGTCTATCAATGATACACTGGATAAAGAAAATCTGGTACATATACACAATGGAATGCAAGGCAACCATAAAAAAACAACAAGATCATGTCCTTTGCAGGGATATGGATGGAGCTGGAGGCCATTACCCTTAGCAAGCTAACACAATAACAGAAAACCAAGTGCTGCATGTTCTCACTTATAAGTAGGAGCTAAATGATGAGAACACATGGACACGTGGAGGGGAATAACACACTGGGTCCTATCAGAGGGCAGAGGGTGGAAGGACGGAGAGGATCACAAAAAATAACTAATGGATACTAGGCTTAACACCTAGGTGATGAAATAATCTGTAAAACAAACTCCCATGACACAAGTTTGCCTATGTAACAAACCTGCACGTGTACTCCTGAACTTAAAATATAAGTTAGAAAAAAAAAATCTGTAAATGAACAAAAATCTGCCAAACAAATCAGTTACTTGCTCCACAAATTGCTCTCCACCTGTTTTCTGACAAGAATGTCTATTTTCAAAGAAAACTAACATTACTGCTTTAGTAATATTTCATAAGCTAGCTCAAATATGGAAATTGTCATTTTTATGTGAGCATATTAGTTTTCTAGGTATGCTGTAATAAAATACTCCAAATTGAATGACAAAGAAAAACAAAAATTTATTAATATTTTCTCACAGTTCTGGAAATACTTTAATCCTGAAATCAAGGTATCAGCAGGGTCATGGTTTCTCTGAAACCCATAGGTGAGAACTCTCTCATTTCTTTCTGGCCTCTGGTGATTTGCTAGAGATCCTTTGTTTCTTAGCTTGCAGCTTCAGAACTTCAATTTCTGCCTCCTTTGTCACATGGTGTTGTCCCTTTATGTGCTGTGTCCCTGTGTTCCTTCTCATCTTCTTATTAGGGCATCAAACGTATTGCATTAAGTAGTCACCCTACTCCAGTTATATCTCATTTTTACTTAGCTAGTTATATCTGCAATGACCCTACTTCCAAATAAGATTACACTGTGAGGTACTGATGTCTAGAATATCAGTATATTTTTTATCTTTGGAGAAGGACACAATTCAAGTCTAATAGTCAGAATTCTATGGTCATTCATGGCATTCATGGCATTTTTGTGGACATCTTTTACAACAATTCATTAAACACTAGTTTGCATGCTCTATGAAAGTGGACATAGTACTTATTCATTTTTGCATTTCTAGTTCTTAGCATAGTAAGTTCAAAATGCATATTGCTATGTGAATGTAGGACCTGGATTGGGAAACATTCTGAAATGTAAATAAGATGCCTTTTTATTTCCTCTTTTATTACTGCTCTCTTGCCTTTCTATCGTTCATAAACATGAAATACATCATGAAATAAACATGATAGTGTATATAGAATGCTTAGCAAGATGCCTAACAATCAGTAAGCATCTAATAAATAAACCAACTAGTGTGATCATAACTTCACTCTGATTTATTCTTCATACCCTCACTCTAAATCCAAATCTTTCTACTACAATTACTCAGCCAAAGTTTGCTTTCTATTGATAGCAATGTCATATCAAATTATAGGAGATGATAGCAGGTGAAACTAGAATTTAGATATAAGGAATATGCTTTTGCAACATACTAAAAAATATACCACATGAACTAGGTGTCTTTTGAAGATATCACTTTTCCCTGAATTATGATATGTCTCCTGGCTGGTATACTGCTATAGTGCACTAAGAGAGACACATGTACCTCTGTGGTACTTTATGTGATAAATGAAAGTATAAACTACTAGAAGAACACATTTGATAAATCAATTACTTCAAAAGGAGAAATTAAACTAAAGATATTACTAAGTTACGTTTCAACTAATCCCTAAAATATGAGAATACAAGTGAGGTAGTTGTGTTTCTGAACAAAATCACAAAGGTATGAAAGTTTATTGTGCCATTAGGGAAACAGTAATGAACGTAAGGGCCCACATATAGGGTCTGTTAAGGGTAGAGTATGTACAGATACTACTGCTAAAGATAATAGATGCATGTTACACTGATGTCAAATGTTAAACTGAGAATATTCGTTCAAGATTTCAAAGCCTACTTGATGAGATCTGATTTTAGAAAGACAGTTTGTGGGGATAATTTATTTCAGTAGAGGAGAATGTTTGCAGAACTGTCGTAATAGTGCAGCAATAAGGTAAGTAGGGTCAAAACCACAATAATAACAATGGGAGTGAATACAGAACTATAGAACTTAGAGCTATGTTCTAGGCGATGTAAATAGAACAACACAGCTTTAAATGCCTTAGGACCAAAATCTCATTTGATATTAAGTTGGTGCAACAGTAATTGTGGTTTTTGTCACTACTTTTAATAGCAAAAACCGCAATTGCTTTTGCACCAACCTATAATTATTGACATTATCAGTCTGGCCTTTGGCAAATATTGAAGTGTCTATACCTTCTTTGGGGATTTACAATGAAATTTAACAAATAGTGGTTCTGAGAATTTCTTCAAGAAAAAAATGGTTAACTTATTTTTGTCTAGGATTTTCTAAAATTAATTTGGTTTTGAGGTCCTTTTCATGTATCACCATGATGTAAAAATATTTCATGTAAAAATATTTACTAGATGTAGTGTAAGCATAAGCATTATTTTGAGCATAAGAATAAGTATAAGCATATTTTGAGTTAAAGACAGAAAACACAGGTGATGAAATCTATCCTATAACTTCAGGGTATGTATAATTAAAACTAAATGCAGTGATTTAAATCAATAATGGTGTAAATTAATATTTTTCATTGGAAATCTTATTTCACTTTGGAAAGTGACAAAAATATATGCAATTCTTACTCTTGGGCATAGTAGTCACTTGAAAAATGAAAATTAATTGCCTTATTGCATCTATGAAGAAAACAAAATCATATCATTAACATGTCTCAGGACTATCATATTGTTAATATTAGTGCAGTATCTTCTAGTTATCCCCATAACACATAGGAAAATGAGTTTGTGTAACCCAATATTAAATTAACAATATTAAATTAAATGATAAATGATTAACAGCATTTATCATTTTTTGACTATAAAGAGATCCTCCCCTAAGCAAGCCTTTTGAAATTCAAAGACTCATTAAAATATGTCTACTCTATTGTTGATTTTGTAAAATTAGGAGTTGTATTACATTGTCAGCATAAAATTTAATTACTAAGTTTAGTTTGAAATTGCAAAACCAATGACATTTGAGAGACATTTAGGAAAATGAGAAATGGCAATATTAATTATTTTACAAAAATTTAAAGTTTGTTTATATTTTAAAAAATGTCTTCTATCATAGAGGTTCTACTCTTGGCTAGTTAATTTCCCCCATTCTCTACTACTTCATTGCCTTCGATCACAGATTTTTTTCACAAAAATGTAGGTGTGAAAATTTATCAAATTCTCATAGTGTTGGGAAAGTACTGCTTATAATTC
This sequence comes from Homo sapiens, assembly GCF_000001405.40. Lineage (NCBI taxonomy): Eukaryota > Metazoa > Chordata > Mammalia > Primates > Hominidae > Homo > Homo sapiens. Next base: position 56,279,177 of record NC_000010.11, on the reverse strand, counting down.
AGTACACTACAAAGCAAAGCATTCTTTTCTTATGTATTTATTTTCCACTGGTTATCCTTGAACAGGAAAATATTGCTTGTTTGCCTGCTAAAATTTATATTAAAAAGTCACATAATATTTACTACCTTTCTGAGGTCCTCTAAAAATTCTGCAGTTTGTAATTATTAGGAACTGAAATCTGCATAAATCCTTGCCCTATATTCTATTGATGAGTAACCAGTAGTTATTGCATGTTTTCAACATTAGAAAAAATATTGCTTTGGGCCATATTATTAATAAAATATATTTATTTAATAAATTAAATGGAATTAATCAGATGAAAAATAGAATTCATGCCAAACTGCTTTCTGTCTCTATTCATTGTTAAACTCTGTTTTTAAAGCAATGCCTTTGTTGTTTTCTCTTCCCTCTCTCTAGCCCTCTATTCCCTCATCACTACCTCCCTCCCTTCCCTCTATTTTTGCTTTTTAACACATTATTAACTACTGTTTGTGAGGGCATAATAAAGCAGGAACTTTCATGCTTCTTATGGAGAGCAAAATGTGAATGTGAATTCAAAATTTCAGAGTTCCTAAGCGCTGATGCGGTGAGTATATTTCTGGAAATGCACCTGTATTAATTTCCTAGGGGTACCATAACAAAATACCACAGAATGAATGGCTTAAAATCTAAACATTTATTTTCTCATGTTTCTTGAGGCTAGTACAGTCTCAAAGTATCAGAAGTTTTGGTTTCTTCTTTAATATATGAATTTTGGAAAACATAATTTTGTCCATAATAACATCAAAATAATCAGAGAAGTTGGGTACCTTTTATGTAAACCAAATATATTGCAGCATTATTATTTAAAGTGGAAACTTGACAATGAACTAAGTGCCTAGAAATATATGAGTTACAGAAATTATGTAATATCCATATAAATTTAAAAATTGTAATTAAAGTAAGATTCAGAAACTGTTTTACTGACATGTAATACAATAGATTGTTAAGTGAAAATAGCCATTTACAAAAATATATATTCAATGTTTTCCAGATTTGTGTCATCTAAACAAATAAATATGCCAACAAAATCTATCATTTAAAATTATTACTTCTAGTTGAGATATTTATGAACATTTTTTCTCTTTACCCTTTTGTCATTTGAAAACATTGTACCACTTAAAATTAAAATATGCCTTAAAATATGCCTTCACTTTCATATTTCAAATTAATAAGAACATCTAAAAACTTTATGTATGCCCAAATGTAGAAACATTATTTTAATAAACTATATAAATTGGACAATTCCATAAAATATTTACTCCTTCAAAACTGAACTCATTTAATCACTACGTAAAAGTAAAAAATCAATATGAAGAAATGTAACTCATCTGACACTTCTAGGCTAAATTAAAACTTTTAAATGCCAAGACTAATTTTGAAGCTGTGGTCATTGTGTATGTGACTTTCATTATCTTCACACCGCACCTCTTTTAAGAGATAATGTCAGCAGAAAGTTAAAGGTGCTAGTGAAAGACCACCAGAGAACAGGATGGTCAAGTTAAAAGCAAGGCTGTCCTTACCATTTTCCAGTTAATAGAAAACATATTACAGTCTCAAACTGGTCGTAAGAAAGTAGAACAGGAATGTGAGACAGGGCATAGGGTAGAACTTACTCAACATTTCTTAGTTCTTGGGAAGAGGGACTAAGAATAAATAAGTCCCAAAGAAATGTATTCTGTGGTTCTGGGTTTATAAAATAGGAGTGATTTAGGCCAGGAGCTTGTTAATTCTTTTTTACATAGGGGGTCAAAAATATATTAATAATTTAAATTGTACATGAAGAATTATTATTTATTGCATCAAAATTGCCTTCAGCTGAAGAGAAGGGCAGAACTTAGGGCAAGAAACATGCCTTTAATTTCTAGACTCTCTTTTCTTGTACTAGTGTGTATTGCTTGCTATTGATCCTGAAACAACAATAAAAGTAATGATTTCCAGACCACACAATGCTTTATGAGTCACAAATATACAGAGTAGACATAAAGTCTGAGAACATAGATTATATTCTTTTTATTTTTACAGAGTGAAGTTTTTCTGGGCAATAATTTGTATATTTACCTTTTTCCCTCTGAATTGATAGACAAATTGTAGTAGTGTTCTTATAAAAATAAAGTGACCTCATGAACAATGGGAAGAAAATCAATACATTGCTTCAAAGGGACAGGGACTTAAAATCAAAGCTCTCTATTGAAAGATATAAAATTCCATAAATGCTTTAGAAATTTCTCTTAGTGTTGTACTGCCTGATATTGCTATTGATTTTCTAAAAAAGAGCTTCAGAAACCCAAGTTACTTGAAGTATACTTCTCCAATTTTCCTAAGCTCATGAAAGATTTCTTCTGTGTTCTTTAAACTGAAACCTAGAATTATCGCTTGTTGACCTCCTGCTCTATACTTATACCCTTCTTGTGAAGGGGACCTGACCCTCTTGACAAAAGCCAGAAGCAGAGACAAGAACTTAAGCAATAAAACTTCTCCAATATTTGCTCTGATGCTTTGACAATTCACAAAGACCAAGTACTGAGTAATGTCTATATTTTTTTCAGACCATATTCCTTTTCATATAATAAGATGGACAAAAGGAATAATTGTGCTAAAAAAGACCCAAAAGACTTTGTTTTCTTTATATTGTAAGCAGTAAATCTTTATTACATCCAAAAATATCTTTTATATATAATTTTTTATTATACTTTCAGTTCTAGGGTACATGTGCACAACATGCAGGTTTGTTATATGTGTATACATGTGCCATGTTGGTGTGCTGCACCCATTAACTCATCATTTACATTAGGTATATCTCCTAATGCTATCCCTCCCTCCTCTCCCTACCCCACAACAGGCCCCGGTGTGTGATCTTCCCCTTCCTGTGTCCAAGTGTTCTCACTGTTTATTATTATTATTTATTACATCCAAAAATATCTTAAGAAAACAAACTCAAAGCAATATTTTATTTACAAGCTGTGTTCATCCTATTGGGATTACATTTTTTGTTTCTCACAATTTCCTCCCAAAATCCTGTCTAAACTTTTGATAAAAGATGACATTTTTATTTTACATATGATCAGTCAATAATTATGACTGTTTAGTTAATTGCCCTGATACTTATTTTATTCTATTATCATTTATATGGGCAAAGGACATTTTATCCAAAAGAACCCTTGTTCTAATATGTGTTTAGCTAATTTCAATCTTGAGGCCACAAGTATATAATTTAATTTGGTTTTATCTTCCAATAACCAATGTAACATTTTCTCCTTTTAATGCTAATTTGAATAACTCAGACAAATACTTAAAATATCAATAAATACTAATCTTTACCTGTATTTCTTACCCCTTCCAAAGGTTATTTAAAAAATAAAATTGTAATGAATAAAAGTATATATGTAAAGGTGCATTTCATTATATATTCCCATTATTTTATCTCTAATAATATGAATTACCTCATTTATATATCTAACATCCCATCAGAACTACCTCCAGGTAAAATGAGATGCAAGGAAAGGTTCATCATTTGTGAACACATGCCAGTTTGCCAATTCTGTACCTCTTTTTTTATACCTTCTTTTTACTGAGTCAAACTATAAAAATATTTTCTTCCTGCAGAAGTCCCACTGTTAAAAGAAAATATTAATATCTCTCATTTTCTCTGAAATAACACTCCCTTATCTAAATCAATATGCATTCCTTTCTTCTTACAATAATATGTTTGCTCAGAATATTTTACTGTCAGTTTTCATCTCCCCTTTCCAAAATTTAGCTAGTTTTCAGTTGATTTATTCAAGTGGACTTAAAGGCTAAGGTAATAATGACTACTTTATTAACATCTTACTTCCATCAACCATGTCCACATTTTTACTTGGGACAGTTGAGGAGTCTTTTAATCCAAAAGCTGAACACTTGAATGATAAGAATTGAAACCATGAACTTCAAACAAAATGGCAGGCTTGATTACCATGGGCACTTTTTTCCATTCCTAACAGAAAATTCTTGATATAATATAAAACTTCTAATTTTTTAAATAACATTTTTATTTTAGAATAGCTAGAGATTCACAGAAAAATTACAAACCCTGGCATCCACTCACCTTTTGTCCATTGTTACAGTTTTGCCTTCTCCAGTAAGTTAAACCATTGTAATTATCCAATATGTAGCCCTTTCACACTGACTTTTTCATATAGAAATATGCATTTAAAATTCAAAAATGTCTTTTATGGATTCATATTTCACTTCATTTTATCACTTAATAATATCAGCTCTACAGATGCATCATAAATTTTTTTATTCATTCACTTATTGAAGGAAATCTTGTTAGCTTCCTCATTTGCCCGTATGAGTAAAGCTGCTATAAGTATTTACATGCAGCTTTTGTTGTAAATGTAAGTTTTCAAATCAGTTGGTGAAAATCATGGAGCATGCAGCCATAAAAAAGAATGAGTTCATGTCCTTTGCAGGGACATGGATGAAGCTGGAAACCATCATCCTCAGCAAACGAGCACAGGAACGGAAAACCAAACACCACAGGTTCTCACTCACAAGTGGGAGTTGAACTATGAGAACACATGGACACAGGGAGGGGAACATCACACACTGGGGCTGTCGGGGGCCGGGGGAAAGGAGAAGGAGAGCATTAGGACAAATATCTAATGCATGCAGGGCTTAAAACCTGGATGATGGGTTGATAGGTGCAGCAAACCAACGTGGCACATGTATACCTTTGTAACAAATCTGTGCATTCAGCACATGTATCTCAGAATTTAAAGTAAAATTTAAAAAAATCATGGAGCGTGATTGCTGGATTATCTGAGAAGACTATGTCTAGCTTTGTAAGACATTAACAAATGGTTTTCAAAAATGGCTGTACCATTTTGCATTGCCATCAGCAATTAATTGAAATTTCTTTTGGTCCACATTCTTGCTAGTAATTGGTATTGTCAATTTTAAAATGTTCATTCTAATAGGCATAGTGGTAGCTTATTGTTTTGACTTGAGATTCCTTAATTATAGATGATGTTGAGCTTAATTTTTTTTTTTTTTTTTTTTTTTTTGAGACAGAGTCGTCTCGCTGTGTCGCCCAGGCTGGAGAGCAGTGGCGCGATCTCGGCTCACTGCAAGCTACGCTTCCCGGGTTCACGCCGTTCTCCTGGCGCAGCCTCCCGAGTAGCTGGGACTACAGGAGCCCGCAACCACGCCCGGCTAATTTTTTGTATTTTTAGTAGAGACGGGGTTTCACCATGTTGGCCAGGATTGTCTCGATATCCTGACCTCGTGATCCGCCCGCCTTGGCCTCTCAAAGTGCTGGGATTACAGGCGTGAGCCACCGCGCCCGGCCTGAGCTTAATTTTTTATATCCCTATTTGCAATACAAAAATCTTCATTGCTGAGGTCAGATCTCTTGCCCATTAACATTTTTTCTTATTGTGTGTTTCAATAGGTGTATATTTTGTATTCAAGTCTTTTACCAGATGTAAGTATAGAAAACACTTTTTTCTCAGTCTGTGGCTTGTCTTTCAATCTCTTAACAGTGTATTTTCAAAGTATAATTTTAAAAAATTTTATAAAGTCTACTTCCTATTTTTTTCTTTCATGAATCACACTTTTGGTGCTATATAATTAAACTCACAGATACATAAATTTTCTCCCATGTTTTCTTTTACAAGTTATAGCTTTGCATCTTAACATTTGGATCTACAATACATTTTGAGTTAATTTTTGCAAAACGTGTAAGGCTTGTGTCTAGGTTTATTTTTCTGCAGACAGAGGTTCAATTGTTCTAGCACCAATTGTTCGAAAGACTCATTTTTATTGAATTGCCTTTGCTTCATTGTCAGGTATTCTTTATATATTGTGTGGGTCATGTCTGGGCTTCATGGTAAGTCCTTAAATCAGATGAGTCCTCCATCCTTGTTCTTGCTCATCAGTATTGTGTTGGCTCGTCGAGTCTTTTACTTTTCCGTGTAAACTTTAGAATCAGATTGTAACAACAAACGCAAGTCCCTGAGCTGATTCCTCAAAGAGCTACCAGACAGGTCAAAACACAACCAAAGTTCCTTGAGACCAAGGTCTGTATTGCCCCCTGCAGCAGTGGCAAGCCACACCAAGAACCGGGGCTGCCATTCTCACAGCCACTGCAGAGATGTGGAGTGTGAGATGTTTTGCTGTTCTATTGTTGTGTGAACATTTTATTTACCTTCTGAAAGTGTTCCTAGACCCAATACTCACAAGGAGTTTCATTCATAGCTACCGTTCCCATTCCATCCTCTACTTAGAAAATATTTCCTCTTATGTCTTACTCCCCATAAAAACATCAGCTAATTGATGTTTTTATTATAAGTTCTTCACATTTATATGGCAAATTTTTAACATACTATATGTTATAATTGACTCAATAAGTACATATTTATTGAATGAATTGGCCAAGAAATAAAGGTCATGTAATAATTTTCTCATTTTATTTTATCTCATTTCTGCTTTCTTTAGGAAACATCTTTCAATAATTCTTAAGAGATGACATGCTTTAAAGCATATATTATGGTAAATAATTAGAATCCCTTAAAGGACCAGCATACTTAGGTATCATGTTATCAGACTAAAGCCTGAAAATTATTGAAGACTTATTAAATAATATTATGCCTAGTGCAGATAGAGTGAAATAAAATTTTTGTTTTAATTTGGAAAAGTTATACTGGAAAAAGAATAAATTCAGTGAATATGTAGTGCAGAAACTGACACTGATTGAGAGCGAAAACTTTCTTTTATTCCTCCAGAACAGGAGATAAAATATAAGAGAATAAGTAGTTTGGTTCTTGTCAGACACATCAAGAGTCATCTAAAGTAATACCATGTTTATGCAGTTCTGATTGCTGACAAACAGTGGTTATGATAAAAAAGAAGAAGTTGTCCATGCAGGTGCAAAATTTATAAAAGGACAACCTATAGCAAAGCTTTGTGAGCTGTCAAAAGGAATGAGAAAAATTGAAAGAAAAAAGCAAACAACTTCACTGACAGTTCATATTGCAGCCTATGATATTTCTGGAAGCATGAATTGGGGATATGTTGAGATGTACTTCTATGAGGAACAGAAACAACAAAAATCCTTATTTTTAACTTAAGATGCTAGTCCAAGGGATTTTTAACAAAACACATTTTTTTTCCATTTCACTGACCTTTCTGTGAGATTTTTAGATTGCATATGCCATGTTTCAGAAAGATAAAGTAATAGCTCATAATGCTAGTGATAGATTTACAGAAAGGGGAAATAGTGCTGTCCAGTTAGGGCAAGGTGAGAAGAAAGATAATTGTCTCCATTATTTTTGAGAAAAAGACTATATATATATGTATGATCTAATTCTATAGCACTGGACAGTGTCAGAAAACTTATGTGGAAAAACTAAAGTCCCTAACTTTACAGACTTGTGTTTCCCTACATATGTTCTTCACTGTTTGCCTTATATTAAGATTTGGTTTGCTATTTATTGACTAACCTATCCCTCCTTATTTAGATGTTTTGGCTTTAATTATTGTCACAGAGCATGTAAAAGTAATTTGTATGTCTTTGAGAGTTACAGCAAAAATTAGACATATTTCTCTTATAAGTGTTTGACAGAATTGTTGCCTAGGTTGTTAGTCTTTATTTTTTTCCTCTCAAGTGTCAAGCCACCTTTTTATAAGCACATGGTTCTCTTCCCCCAAGGAAAATAGATACTTAATGTTTTCTTAGGTTGTGATCACTGCATTTTTCAAGGTAAAGACATTTTCTTCCACCTAAATGTTATTTTAATAAGACCCATACTCTAATTCTCTAAGCCCCTATATTCCCTTGCTTTCTCCAAGTGGATGCAATCATAAACTGGAGGAAAAATGAGCTTGCTTTGCTTTTCTATCTGCAATGATAGAACAGGATTTTTGCTCTGGCAGGTGATTTTACAGCTTAAGGCTTTCCTTTCAATATTTCTCTATGTTTTCCTCTGGAGTCGTAGCATATGAACTTGCCCAAGTTCACTACTTTTGGAAGGTTTCTTGTTAAGCTTTGAGAAGCTCTGATTCCACCTGTAAGAAATAGCTGCCAGGAGCAAATAATTCATTCTGGGCTTTAACAACATCCAATCTCTGTTGTGAGATATAAATTTAGTTTTTCCACTTTACCAGCTTCACTACTAACAGCTCTCAAAGGAGCTGTTTCTTGCAAAAAAAAATTGACTATAGTTTAATTTTTTATAGAAAAATATTTCCTGTGTGTATGTGTGTGCATGTGTGTATATGTATATATGTATGTGAAATTAGAAGGACATTTATTTATTTAAACTTACTATTCTCTATTCTCTAAATTCTCAAGAAAGGCATTTCTTTTATTCCTAAGCTTTCCTCACTGTTAATAACAAACTATAAAATTTTAGAGGGATGTATTACTTAATTTTACAGAATTGAGGTAATGTAATTTCAGGGAATGAGAGTCTGAAGAAGACTGAAAAGTGAATTGTGAAACAGCACTGGGACAAAGTTTTAATGTTGGAATTCAAAGAAGTAGAATATTGATTTAAGGGCGAATATGACACAGATATAGATCTAGGAAATGATTTTAAGACCATCCTATGATTTCCTTAGGGTTAAGAAGTAAAAATAAATATTTCGAGATCTATTGTCCTTATGTGTAATGAACTATTCAGTAACCAGTGAATCAAGTTCTTGATGCAGATCAATAAATATTTAGTGATTAAATGATTTGTAATCACCAGTATTAAGGTAACGAGGGAGTAATGAAAAGTATAAGATATAATTTCTGCTTTCAGTGAATATGTTACATAGTTGCAAACACTGGCCACAAATCTAAAATAAAATATAAATAATAATAATAAAATAGTTCCCATTTTTTAAATTATTCAAAGTGCTAGGTACTATTCTAAACTATATGCACACACACGCATCCCCACATGCACACACACACACACACACACACACACTCAATTCCCATAAAAGCATAGTTAACATGATCTACATTTTTTAGACAAAGCAACCTAGGAAGCATGACTTTAAGTAATCTACCCAACAGTGCACAACTGATATGTGTGGAGCTGAGATTTTTGGCACCATCAATACAGTTTTGCAGTTGGTGGTCTAAACTATGTGATTATTCAGTACCTGAAAATTGTGAGAGCACAAATAATGACTAAGTATGAGGATTAAGCAGAAAAAGATATAATAACTATGATTAAACCTAAGAAGATCTGAGTTAGAAACAATTCCATTTTTGTCTAGGTGTGTGTCTTAGACTCACTCCTCCTGAGTTTCTTTGTCATAAAACTTATGAATAACATTTACTGAACACTCACTATGTTCCAGTCAGTCTGCTGATCATTTTAAATGTATTATCTATGTCATCCTTTTATCAAGAAATCAGATAGAAGTTATTCCTTGCTCCACTTTGGAAATGAGAGAATTGAAGCTTTGAGAATTTAACTATTTGCCTCAGGTCACATAATTAGTATATTCCCAGGCAGTCTGACCCATATCCTCTCTTAACCTATAATGCCATGGACTGTGGTGAACGACTACGAGAAAAAGTTTGCAAATCTGAGTACTATTGTAAATTATATTCAATGATACACACTTTGTGATTTGCATTGGTGTATAAATGGAGGGATTTCAGTGTAGGCTGTGAAACAGAATGACTTTCCAGAAAAAAGTAAGCCTGACTCAACCCTAAACAAACATGTTGTAACTCACTTTTGATACATTTCATGGAGTTGGAGGATTACAGTACAAATTTAACCCAGCTCTACTCAAGTGCTGTCATAAACTCAGGCTGATTGAGTGCTTCTGAACTGTTTTGGCCAGGTCCCAGAAACTGAAAATGATTAAGTTTTATTGGCAGATGTGAGTGCAAACTGGCTTAGAAAATGAAAAACAAAACAAACAAACAAACACGAAATGAACAAAGATACTCTTCTCTGGGTCTACAATTTTATGGTCTGTTTTGTGTCTCCCCCCTTCTCTATTTTTATTTCTCTGAATTATCTTTTCTGCCTTCTGTTTTATTATTGGATTACTTTTTTAGTATTTCATTTTATCTATTGGATGTGGTAAATCTGCATTTCTTTGTAAATTGTGGTTACACTGTGTTTATAATATGCATGTATAACTTTTCAAAGTTTATTTACAGTCAGTATTACTGTAATTTAACAAGATTTTAACAAGAGAAAATAAGCACATTTTAACAAGAGAAAATAAGCATATTATATTAAGCCAGAATTTAACAAGAGAAAATAAGCATATTAAATTAACCCAGAAATGTACAATTTCTGTTGCTTTTTCTTTATTTTGGGGGGCTCACATTTGTCTCTGTTATATTTCCCTTCTAGCTGAAGATCTGCCTTTACATTTATTTCAGAGCAGTTATACTGGCAACTTTCTTACTCTTTTTTTCATATGAGAATGCACTTTTTCATTTACTTCTGAAGGATATTTTTACTAGATATGGAATTCTGTCTTGACAGTCCTTTTCTTTCAGTCCTTTGAAATATATTTCAACTGCCTGTTGGCCTCCATGGTTTCTGATGAGAATCCTCATGATTTTTGAATAGTTGTTTACCTATATGTAATGTGCTTTTGTCTTTTAGTTTTCAAGGTATTTGTCTTTATTTTTGGTGTTCTGTGATTTGATTATGATGCACTTTTCTATGGTTCTCTTTGAGTCTATCCTGTTTGAAGTTTGCTAAAGTTTTTCATTTTAAAATATATGTTTTTCACCAAATTTGGGAGGTTTTCAGTCATTATTTAAATACTGTTTGCGTATTAATACTTTTGCCTTCGTTTTTCAAGGAATCTAATAATAACATTGTGTCAAAACCTTAGAAGTTCTATTTATTTCATAGTCTTTGCTGATTATTTCTCAGGTTAAACAATTTCTACAGATTTTAACATTACCGATTCTTTTCTCTGTTGACTCTATTCTGCTATTGAGCCCAATCAGTGACTAGTTTTGTTTGTTTTGTTTCTGGGTTATTTTCAGTTTTAAAGCATTTAGCTTTTTTTTCCTAGCTTCTGTTTTTTGACTAACTTTTAGCTTCCCAGTTAATTCAAGAATGTTTGCTGTTACTTCATGGAACTTGGTTTTAATAGCTGTTTTGATGTCTTTGATAATTCCAACCTATCTGTCATTTCAGAATTGGTATCTGAGTAGTGCGTAAAATAGAGATTTGATTTTATTTACTTCTATTTTATAGTCAATGGTTTCTCCAGTATGTGCTTTTTGAATGGCCTCTTGTTTCCTAACTGCTCTGCCATTAATACTCTTAAAAACATAGCTTTGTTATATAGCTAATTATATGCTTATGTTAGATTTTCACTTTGTATTATATTTGTCTACATGATTAATAAAATGTGTTGTTCATGACTTAGTGAGCAACAGAATTGTATAATTGTGTGTGTATGTTTATGTTTGTGTGTGTGTTTGCACGTGTATGTATGTCTTAGTCTGTTTTGTGCTGCTATAAAAGAATACCCAAGACTGGGTAGTTTATAAACAGTAGAAATTTATTTATCATAGTTCTGCTATCTGAGAAGTCCAGGACTGAGGGATTGGCATCTGGTGAGGGCCATCTTGCTGCATCATATCATGGAGGAAGATGAAAGGGAAAGAATCGGGTAGAGAGAGCAAAAGAGGGCCAAACTTGTTCTTTAATAATGGACCCACTCCCATGATAAAGGCATTAGTCTGTTCATGAGGGCAGAGTCTTCATGGCCTAATCACCTGTTAAAGGCCTTATTACATTTCAACATGAGTTTAAGAGATAAAAAGCATTTAAATCATAGCAGTATTTGACATTTTATATACAAAATAAGTATTACAGTTTTATTATAAGTGAATAATAAGTTATGTGTATATATATAATTGAATAATAATATAATTTATCTAGCAGAGCATGTGCCTCTATTTTTTGTGTAGGATGTTCTTGTATATTACTTGCCTCGTTTATTCTTCCATGTAAATGTTAGAATGAGATTGTCTTTTGTTTACAAAAAATAAACCCGATTTTAGAATTTGACTTAATCTTTACAACACATAGGGTATAATTGGCATGTCTGCAATAATATACTCTTAAAATATAAAGCATAGTCATTATTTCCTTTTTAAAGTATATCAATAAATATACATTTCTTACCTTTATGTATTTTTTCACATTGATCTTACATATATCTTGGCAGAATTATTTAAAATTAGAAAAATATATAGTGAAAATGGTATTTTTATGTGTTTCTTAGTGTTGTTTGTTTCCAATTATTTCCTTTTTAACAGAAAATTGTTGATATCTCCAAAAGACTCTAAACATAGCTTTATCTTTTAAAATATAACAATAAATCTCCATAGAAAAAAGTTTTTACTGAAGAATGAATTTTCATTAATAGTATTGCATCTATCTTTGCTTCTCATTTATTTCATTCCTTTGTTTCACATAAATAAGTAGGAATTTCTAGAGTTTTATAATTAAAATTTTCTGGTTACTTTTCTAACCATATTACAAATAATTATTTATATTATATTGTTTAAGTTTTTAGCTTTACAAAATATACTGTATATTACTTAGCCATCTGGGAATTTTATATTTATCTACAATTATTTTTCTTACTCATCTAAGATGCACATATTCATAGTTTATTCATTTTCACTGTGGTATAAGATGTTAAATTATTCAATCTTTTGTTCAGTAGTAGTTTTGCAGAAATTAATACATGATTGCAAAATTAATACATCTATACTTTGTAAAAGCAAAGAAAAACTTAAAAATGACTCTCAGTAGAGACTGTGGGACTTTAATGGCCATACTATAAATCACGTGACTTTGTATTCTTAATATCATCTATTAATATTTTATATTAGTGTTCTTACATAGTTGCTAAATCTAGAAATATTATGCTAACATTTTTTGGATATACTGCAGGAAAAGTACACTTTAGATAATATAATTTTTCTGCTAGAAGGAATTTTTTGTCATCTATTCAATACCCTTCTTTTACAGTTGAGAGAATTCACTTTCCAGAGAGTTTAGGTCACTTGGTGAAAATTAAACAGTTTGTCAACAAGTTTTCCAATGTAGTGGTTTAATGTTTAAAATGTAATGAGTACTTATCACAAATTTATTCTGAGTGGAGTATAATTCTGTAAGGGACATTCATCTTGGAAAGCCTCTAATGGCTTTGTTTATAGAGGTTATCAATAAAAATATAGTTTTATTTTATTTTATTCTCTTCTCTGTACTACAGCATACACTATGCATCCACAAGCCATTGTTAAATTCAGGAAAGAGAATGGTATACACCCAAAATTTTAAGGAAGATAGGTGTCATCACATTTGATCATGTCTTCTCACCTATATTCTGTAAATATTTTATTTTTTAATTTGTAATACCAGCAAGATATATGCTCTCTCCTTTTTAGATATAATATTTATTACTCAACTATAAATATGAAACTGTATATATACATGACATGGTTATGCTCTGTGTCCCCTCCCAAACCTCATCTTGAATTGTAATCCCCAGGTGTTGAGGGATGAACCTGGTGGAAGGTAATTGGATAATGGGGGCAGTTTCTCCCATCCTGTTCTCATGATAGTGAGTGAGTTCTCACAAGATCTGAAGGTTTTATAACTGTTTGACAAGTTCCTCCTTTGCTGGCTCTTCTCTCTCTTGCCATGATGTGAAGAAGGTCCTTGCTTCTTCTTGGCCTTCTGCCATGATTGTAAGTTTCCTGAGGCCTCCCCAGCCAAGTAGAACTGTTAGTCAATTAAACCTCCTTCCTTTATATATTACCCAGTCTTGAGTATTTTGTTACAGCAGTATTAGAATTGACTAATACAATACATATGTATTTGGCTATCATATTTTCAAAGATCTAAAGGAGTGATAGTGTGTGCTGGCAAAAATTTTGGAAAAGTGACATTTTATTCTCTGAGGGACTGTAAAATAAATAATATTTTTAATGAAATTCGACAGTGTTTATCAATGTTTTAGATCTTCATTTCTTTGATGTAAGAATTCCACTTCTAGGGCATGTGTGCAAATGTGCAAATGTTTACGTAGTAGCACATTCATTAAAGCATTGGAACTAAAGTTAAAATTGAAAAAAATGTACATTTATAGACCCTAAATATGTAAATTATACTATATTAATAAAATAATTTTAATAATTAAAAATAAAGTTGATTTTTACATATTACAGAGAAAAGTTATTGTTAAATAGAAACAAATTACAGAGTAGTATGTGAATTTTTTTTTTGAGATGGAGTTTCGTTCTTTTTGCCCATGCTGGAGTGCAATGGAGCGATCTTGGCTCACGACAACCTCCACCTCCCGGGTTCAAGTGATTCTCCTGCCTTAGCCTCCCAAATAGCTGGGATTACAGACATGCGCCACCATGCCTGGCTAATTTTTGTATTTTTAATAGAGATGAGGATTCTCCATGTTGGTCAGGCTAGTCTCAAACTCCCAACCTCAGGTGATCCGCCTGCCTCAGCCTCCCTAAGTGCTGGGATTACAGGCATGAGCCACTGCGACTGGCCGTATGTGAATATTTCTTTCCGATTTATTTATTTGTTTTTCTTTTCTATTTATATTGAATGTATAGGCATTGAAATTCTCCAAGGATGTAAATTTAAATATTTCTAGGATACATCTTGAGGAAGTGATTCTGGGAGGATGAATAACTTCAAATTTAAAAATGTATACCTGAATTTTGTGAATTACATATTATTATATATATACGTATATGTTAATTGGGCAATAAAAAAGATGAAATATTTCGTGTGTTTGTGTGTGTGTGTGTGTGTGTGTGTGTGTGTGTGTGTTAATTGGGCAACAACAAAAGATGATATATTTCCTCCTTGGAAAAAATATTTTTAAATTTTTGAATTTTTTTTCAGGCTCAATATTTCTATCTTTTTGTAGTGCAGCATCCTGAAGGGTAAAGATTTCTGTTAAATAAAATATTAATTCAGATCTACTAGTGTCAACGTCTGCCTTATTTCCATTGTGCTGCTTTAGGAATGTGGACCAAGATTTCTAAATTTTATGCAATAGGAATTCATATAAATTTAACATGAAAACTTTTTTTTTTAGTTTAGCTAAAAAGCACACAATATGTTGATATTCATGTAATTCATGTTAATAATTGCTCAGAATCGGTAGTGGCGGTAGTGGCGTATCACTGCTCGTAATTTCTTCTTATATTCATTCTTACTCCCATTGTTTGCAGAGTCAAACCTTCAATCTGATTGTGATGTAAGAATGTGGGTGTTAATGAGTTGAGTAGCTTGGATAGCAGAAGCAAGGCATTTATAAGAAGAATAAAATGCAGTATTTCAGTAGGCCATAGGTCAGGTGTAAAAATAGAGATTACTAGTAAAATGGATAAAAATAAACAAAATAATTGAGAAAGTGTAATTTTCAGAATGGTATCCAAGAACAAAAATATCTAGCAGAATAAAGAATGACATACTTTTCTGTAGTTGCACAGTTGAAGCAGCTTCCCAACTGAAAAAGCTCTGTAATCAGGTCGCATCCTACTGATGTGAACTCTCTTCTTGACCAAAATTTAGACAAGCTCCCCTGAACTCGTTTTTCGCTAGGCCTTGACCTTGGCCTGCTACTTATTCTTGGCCCCTGAGCCCAGTTTTTAACAATCTTTATCCAGAATCTGTCCACCCTTGATTTCTGATCAAGTTCCTCATCTCCACCTTTGATACTTAAGTCTTTGGCCTGCCTTTAGCAAGAATTCTGTTAAGAGAGTTTAGTAAATAACTCCCTACACTTGATGTGTAATCAAGTCCCTCTTCATAATTTTCTATCCAGAGACCCCTTCACTCCATTAATTATCAATCCCTAGCTGTGTTTGCTGTGTTTGGAACTGACCTCAGAGTTCTATACTGAACTCTGTTTCCCCTATAGGAATAGTTCAAATAAAATGTCTTAACATTTTTCATATGTGTCCAGTCCAAAGTTTTTCTTTTAAACTACCTTCCAGAACTCATAGATTTCCCCAAATAAACAACATGATATCTCCTGCATGGGAGTTGCCATGTCATTCTTATTCTTATTTTTGCTCATAGTTTTACTCAAATGTATTCTTTATAACCTAAATATAACAAATGTATTCTTTATAACCTAAATATGTTCCTTCTAAAGCCATTCAAAAGAATTTCAGCAAGCTCTCCAGCTCAAACAACTATTTTCCCCCCTCAAATTATCTACTTACCTTATATCATTACTGTTCTGAATGAATCTGGAAACTCAATATTTCCATTCTTATATTAGCTAAACCCACAAGTGCATTAAACAACAGCCTGCAGCATCTTCCCAACTTTTGGGAATTCCTTCAGATTCTACTTTGCACTCATAGCTTTGATAGTTTTCCTTTGTCCAGATTATAGCCTTTTCTTAAACTCTCTTATCTCATGCCTAAAAGTGACATGAAAGGTGTATTTAAATTATGTCTCCAAATAAAACTGTCATCAACCATAAACAAAAAAAAGAATAAAATTAAAAAATGAAAACACTTTAAATAGCATGGGTATTTCTACTCACTCTTCCACTCAAAGCATTTATGCCCTAGAGTGTAACTCTAACTTTTAAATCCAGCATACCTCTTAAGATCACATTAAATGTCATGTAGAAAGATTAAACTGTATGAATGCTGGAGAGAGAAAACACACTGGCTGTGTTAGATTTATTAATAGATGGTATAGAGTATTGGTCTATAGAGTACTAATTTTCTAAAGTGGTTTAAGAATAATTTTGACATTTTCAAATATTGCCTTTTCAAAATAAATTTAGAATTTGGCCCCACAGATGCTGTGATGTTTTACCTAAATTATTCCTCTGCCCAGCCTTGGAAGATATTTGAACTAAATTGTTTATTACCTCTAGTTTTGAAATATTTCTTTCCAGACTCCACAAATGGATTAATCTCTTTCTCCACGTTCTGCCTCCCAAAGGCCATTGAAGAGCTCAAATCAGATGCAGCCTCGACCTCCTGTGCTCAAGCCTTCCTCCCACCTCATCTTCCTGGATAGCTGGACTACAGGCATGTACCACCACACCTGGTTAATATTTTTTAACTTTTTGTAGAGATGAGGTCTTACTATGTTGGTCCTGAACTCCTGGGCTCAAGTGCTCCTTCTCCCTTAGCCTCCCAAAGTCCTGGTATTACAGGCATGAGCCACAGTCCTTGGCTGGAGCACAACTCTTCTTAGTCTAACTTTATTATCTCAGGTTTTGTGATTTAATTTTTATACCTCCTGTTCTCAACCTGCAGTGATTTTACAAATGAGACATTTGGCAAATGTCTGGAGATATTTTAGGCTCTCAGAACAGGGTGAGAGAGCAGTGGCTACTGGCATCTAATGAGTAGATATCAAGGATGTTGCTAAATATTGTAGTATGCACTGGACAGCCAACCATAATAAATACTTACCTCACCTAAAATGTAAATAATGCTGAGGTTGAGGAAAATACGGTTTTCGTAGATCATTTGGTTCCCTGGGGGAATTGTAAGCTCTTGACAGATGACGCAAATACTTTGTTTCATTTGGAAACCATTCATTTTATGTACAGCTATGTATTGGGGGCTTCCTGTCTATTAGACAATTTACTAAGTGCCAAGCACAAAATTGTGTACATTCTAATGAGGTGTGCAAGGGATCTGTAAATGCTATGTATAGGTTAAGAAGTGATATCATTTCTTAACCTATACATAGCACAAGACATGGCACAAAAATTTTCTATTTAAATTTGAGGTTTTATTCAATATTAATGGAGGAAAAAATATAGCACTCAAAATGTCAAGGGTGAGGGAAGTTTCTGTAGTAATTGCATTGAGGTTGCTATAAAAGGTTGCTATAGCTATCAATTGTTGATTCTGATTTCAATATCAAATACATAACTGTTTCTAGTATATTTCTGCAAAGCTCATTCTTACTCCATTCTGAGTGGAATTATAAGGAATGAAATTCATAATTTTGTGGCAGAAAATTCACTCTATTTGGGGGGGAAAATGTTATGACTATTCTAATCTGATGAATAACTTGGAATACCGAAAATTCATTGTTCTTGGAGCAATATGTATTGGAGCATATTTACAACAAATTATTTACATCATTAGGTAGCTCAGGCTTAGTATATAAAATAGCTTACAAAGACCAAAAAAAAAAGCATAAACAGTGTTTCTCAATACAATTATAGGCAATATTTTGGAGCTATTTCCATAAGAAACATGTGACTTATATATTATATCAGCAGGATGACCAACTTGTTCCAACTCATCCAAGACCTTCCTGGTTTTAGCACTGAAAGTTCCATGTCCTGGATATCTGTTAGTTCAGATAAACTGGAGTGGTGGGTAATCGATGTGGAGTGTTATTTCAACACTGGTAACTAAATTCTGTGCAGCTATGAGTTTTGAAATATTTAGTGTAAGTACAGCTTTTGCCCATGATTAAATGCTCTGGTAGCAGTCTGCAGTTTTATTAAGTTTATATAAGAAAGGTCTTACATGTTCATTCACATACATAAAGAAACATATTGTGAACAGTTCTGTTGAATAAAGTATTTACAAGTCCGTTCTTCAGAGTTCTACATGTGGTATTGTTTCATTGAAGCTTGGCATATAGTTCTTTAGTCAGATATTCTATTTCCTTAGTTATTTGATTAAAATTATATGAGGATTGGCCTTGTCTAAGATAGTTTTGTCCTTTATCAAGAATGGAGCTGCTGAAATACTGGATGTAAAATCTAAGAATTTGCGAAGAGAACATTTATTTCAATTTCTTTGTGTTAATGTATGAGAGTGCCTGGAAAATACCAGAAATCAGATGATAGCATAAAGTCCCTGGCACACATAAAGAAAACATTCCATACATGCTAGGGACCATTTATGTCATAATATTCCTCACCACAAATGCATAAATAATTTCACAAACTTTTATGTAGAACAGATTTACTGAATCAATGGGGGTTTGTCTTTGTTACAATATCATTTCTGCAACTTGTCTATTCTAGCAAAACATTTTGTTTGAGCAGAAAGCAATTTTGCAAAAATCAAAATAAAGAGAACTGTTCATTATTTCAAACCTCTGGACAACTCAAAAACCATTTATTTAGTTTCAGAAATCATAATTTTTAGACATACTTATATAGAATTTGAGTTATGAGGAAAAAGATCTCTTCCAAAAATGCTCTTGTGGCATGTGTAATTCAAGCAAAGTTATTACATATCCTCTCAAGTAGAATATATATATTCAGAATATATATATTATATATACCCTCAGGTAGAATATATAAACTGAAAATTCACTGGCTGCCAAAAATTCTGGATTTTCGGATGTAATATGGACATGTGTAATATGGACAACAAAGTTCTTACTCTATGTACCTGGCCCTGTTCAACTCCTATAAAGACTTAACCTCTTGCTAGGCAATACTGGTTGAGCCATATATAAAAGCAATAACCTTAGTAGTTCACATTCATGCAACTTTCTTCAAAGCTGCTTTCATTTCCTTACCTTTTACCTTCTCCAGTCCTTTGCAATCACTCCTCATTAACCATCCTTTTTTCTCTTAACCCATGATATAGTTTGGATGTGTGTCCCCTCCAAATCTCAAGTTGAAATGTGACCTTCAATATTGGAAGTGGGCCTAGTGGGAGGTATTTGGGTTAGTGGAATGGATCCCTTTTGAATGGCTTGGTGCCATCCCTATAGGAATGAGTGAATTCTAACTCTGGTAGTTCACATGACAGCTGTTTGTTTAAAAGAACCTGGAACCTGCACTCACCATGGTCCCTCTCTCACCATGTGACAGGTTGGTTCCCCATAACATTCTGTCATGATTGTAAGCTTTCTGAGGCCCCCAACAAAAGTATTAATAGATACCTACACTATGCAAAAAAGTAAGGAGGAGGGACTCCTCCTTGACTCATACCACAAAGTCAGTATCATCCTAATACCAAAACTGGCAAGTATACCACAAACAAAGACAACTACAGGCAAATATTTCTAATGAACATAGATGGAAAATGTTTACCTAAATACTAGCAAACCTAATCTAATAGCACATCAAAAAGATAATTTGTCACAATAAAATGAGCTTTACTCTTGAGATGCAAGTATAGTTCAATATATGCAAATCAGTAAATATTATTAACCATACAAAGAGAATAAAAACAAAAACCATATGAACATTTTAATAAATGCCAAAAAAGCTTTCAAGAAAATCCAACATTGTTTTATGATAAAAACCCTCAACAACTACGTATCAAAGGCACATCTCTCAAAATAATAAAAACCATCTATCACAAGCCCACATCCAACATCACACTCAGTAGAAAAGCATTGGAAGCATTCTCCCTAAGAACTGTAATAAGATGAAGGTATCCATTCTCACTACTCCTATTCAACATAGTATTGGAACTCTTAGAGCAATCAGACAAGAGAAATAGATAAAAGGCACCCAAATTTAAATTTTAAAAAAAGCGGAAGTGAAATTATCTCTGCTCACTGATTATATGGTTTCATACTGTGAAAACCCTAAAGATCCCTCCAAAAGACACATAGGTTTAATAAATGACTTCGTTTGAGTCTCAGGATACAAAATTAATGTACAGAAATCAGTAGCATTTCCATACACCAGTAATGTTCAAGTAGAAAACCAAATAAAAATCACAATGCAATTTACAATAGCCATTCAAAAAAAAAAAAAAAAAACTAGGAATACATCTAACTAGGGAAGTAAAATGTCTCTAGAAAAAGAATTACAAAAAGCTGATGAAAGAAATGATAGGTGTCATACACAAACAGAAAAACATTCTATGGTCATTAATTTGAAGAATTAATATAGATAAAATGTCCATATTCCCCAAAGCAATCTACAAATTTGGGCCATTCCTATCAAATTACCAATGTCATGTTTAAAATGATGAAAAAAAATCAATTCTAAATTCATATGGAATCAAAATAGTGTCTGAATAGTCAAAGCAATCCTAGGTAAAAAGACAAAGTCAGAGGCATCACATTACTTGTCTTCAAACTATACTATAATGCTATTACCAAAATAGTATGGTACTGGTACAAAAATAGACACATAGACAAATGGAACAGAATAGAAAACCCAGAAATAAAGCCACATGTCTACAACCAACTGATCTTTTACAAAGTTGACAAAAAGAATAAATTAGGAAAGGCTAGCCTATTTAATAAATGCTGCTGGGATAGCTGGCTAGCCATACACAGAAGAATAAAACTGGATGGCTATATTTCACTATATACAATAATTACCTCAAGATAGATTAAACTTTTAAACATAAGGCCTCAAACTATAAGAATCTTAGAAGAAAACCTAAGAAAAAGTCTCCTGGACATTGGCCTCTGCAAATAATTTATGGCTAAGACCTCAAAAAACAAATGCAACAAACCAAAATTTGACAATGTGGGCTTAATTAAACTTAAGAGCTTCTGCACAGTGAAAGAAATATCAACAGTGTAAACAGACAACTTACAAAATTGGAAAAATATTTGCAAACTATACATCTGACAAAGGACTAATACCAACAATCTATAAGGAAATTAAATAATTCAAAAAGAAAAAAATGCAAATAACCACATTAAAAAGTGTGCAAAGGAAATGAAAAGATACTTCTCACAGAAGACATCCAAGTAACCAACAAACATATGGAAAAGAAATCATTCTACCAAAAAGACACATGCACTGGTATGTTCATCACAGGACTACTTGCAATAGCAAAGACATGATATCAACGTAGGTGCCCATCAACAGTGGATTAGATAGAGAAAATGTGGAACATATACAGCATATAATGCTATGTAGCCATGAAAAAGAATTAAATCTGGTCCTTGCAGCAACATGGATATAATTGCAGGCCATTATCGTAAGCAAATTAATGCAGAAACAAAAAACCAAATACCTCCTCTTCTAACTTCTAAGTGGGATTCAAACAATAGTTACAAATAGACATAAATGTGGAAACAATAGACACAAAGGAATCCAAAAGCAGTGAGGAAGCACAGGGAGTAAGGGTTGAAAAATGCTTATTTCATACTAAGTTCATTATTTGGGTGAGGGGTTCAATAGAAGTGCAAACCTCAGCATTACATAATATATCCATGTAACAAAACTGCACGTATATCTTCTGAATCTATTTTTAAAAACCCTGCATTTTAACTTCCTTTGGGAAGTTTATATAAATGTCATTTGTCAGTAATGACAAGCGCATTAGTAATGTCAAAGATCATTCTCAATATTAAATGATTATATCTAAATTTGCTTTTTGCTGCAGGGAAAAATTGGCTGTTTTGCTATTAATACATTTATTTTTAAATAACAAATTTGTTTAGTGTAGAAAAAATCTGTTTAAAATGAATATTCATGATTTTAGCCCTCTTTATTAATATATGCTTTTATTTACCTAAGTTAGTTATGTTTGGCTCAGTGTACAATTATATTCATGCCTAATTTTGGGAAGCTTGGGCTATTGGCATGTGGATATAAAATCAATTTATGAACTGTTGGCTATAATAGTACAAAAAAAGAACAACTTATTACATATTTCCATAGATGCTAGAAAATCTATACTACATATATAAAATTGAATGAGGAAATTTGCTATAACCAAGAGTATGTAAAATGTTTTTACCTTAACCAAAAATGGCATCAACCATAACTGTTTAAAAACATAAAACATCCTCTTAAAAGCTCTTTCCCAAATTGATTTTCATGGGTTTCTTTCTTGTGTGATAGTATGTATTTCAAGATACAATGAACCACATCATTCAAAGTAAAATTCAACTTCAATTAATGACATTTCCTCCCTTCTATGAGTCCTAAACTTTTAATGCCTACACTGAATTATATACAATATTTGAATTACATTATTCTTCCCTGTACTGAAATATTATATTTTTGGAGTTAACTCTCTCAGGGTTCTTTTGATTCATTATGGAATTTTCTCTTATTTAGCTTCTGTAGTCTAACAAAAATTCAATCAGGTATGGTATTCAGTTGAATTCCTTGATTCTAGAAATCAAATTTTAAGGGTAACTTGTTTTAAGAGCCATTTTGAAAGTGCCCAGAGGGAGCAGCCAAGATGGCCATGGAAGGCACAGCCAAGATGACTGAATAGAAACAGCTTCATTCTGCAGCTGCAACTGAGAAGAATGAAAACAGAGAGTGAATTCTGCTTCTTCAATGTAAATATCCAGGTTCTCTCACTGGGACTGTCTAGGCAGTTGGAGAGACCCCCAGAGAGTGAGAAAAAGCAGGGTGGAGTGAGGGCCCACCAGAGCTGCATTGGGCAAAGGGATCTCCCTCCCCCAGGCAAGAGAGACAGTGAGGTATTGTGCCCTGAAAACTACGGATTTCCAAAGGGTCTTTGCAACCCACGGAAGAGGAGGTCCCCTTGTGAGCCCATGTCACCAGCGCCTTGGGTCTCAAGCACAGAGGTATGCACTCATGGTGGCTGCTTGAGTGTGCAGAAGCTCAGGCAGGCACTGAAATACAGAAGTTTTTGCATACTCTGGCTCAGGGAACTCCGGTGAGGCAGGAGATCTGTCCACTCCCGTGGGAAGCGGGCTGAAGCTAGGAAGTCAAGTGGTCTCTGTCAGTGGGCCCCACTCCCACTGAGCCCCACAAGATAAAACCCACTGGCTTGGAATCTCCATTGGCCAGCTCAGCAAGCTGGAGACTGCCTAAGAAGACTGAGTTCTCGGGACGAGGAGCGGCCATCATCTCTGTGGCTCCAGTTGACCATTTTCCCCTGCTGCAGGTGCCAGTGAGACTAGGCAATTTGGACCAGGAGCAATTCTACACAGTGCAGCACAGTGGCTGCGACAGTTTGTGGCCAGACTGCTCATTTAAGCGGGACCCTGACCCATTCTTCCTCACCAGGTGAGGCCTCCCTGAAGGATTTTCAGCATCTCCAGCCAGGGATTTATGGACAGATCTCTGATCTCCTGGAGAGGAGAGGTGGCTGCAGTACTGTGGATCAGCAGTATTGTTAGATCAGAAAAGACTAAGAACTAAGGATCTTAGTCTTTTCTGCCTACCAGCTCTGGAGAGTCAGGGCAGCCTGGATGAGGAGGATTCCCCCAAGTGCAGCAAAAGTGTCCCACCAAGGGGCAGCCAGACTGCTTATTTAAGTGGGTCCATGATCCTATTTCTCCTTACTGGGTGAGACCTTCCCAAAAGAGGTCTCCAGACACCTCATACAGGAGCCTTCTGGCCAGCATCAGGTTGGTACCCCTCTGGGACAGAGCTCCCAGAGGAAGAAGCAGGCTGCCATATTTGTTGTTCTGCAGCCTCCACTGGTCATACCTTCAGGGTTAGGAGGGATGCAGGGAAATAGGGTCTGGAGTGGACCTCCAGCAAACCACTGTCAGCCCTACAGAAGAGAGGCCTCATTGCTAAAAGAAAAACAAACCAAAAGCAACAACAACAACCAACACCCCACAAAAAACCCATCCAAAGGTCAGCAGCCTTAAAGATCAAAGGTAGATAAACCAAGGAAGATGAGAAAGAATCAATGCAAAAAAGCTGGAAACTCAAAAGCCTCTTCTCCTCCAAATGACTGCAACACATCTTCAGCAAGGGCACAGAACTGGGATGAGGCAGAGATGGATGAATTGACAGAGTTAGGCTCCAGAAGATGGGTAATAATGAACATCACTGAGCTAAAGGAGTATGTTCTAACCCATTGCAAAGAAGCTAAGAACCATAACAAAACACTACAGGAGCTACCAGAATAACCATTTTAGATAGGAACATAAATCACCTGGTGAAGCTAAAAAACACAACATGAGAACTTCACAGTGCAAACACAAGTATCGAATAGACTGAGCAGAAAAAAGGATATTAGAGCTTGAGGACTATCTGGGTGAAATAAGGCAGGCAGACAATATTAGAGAAAAAAGAATGAAAAGGAAAGAACAGAACCTTGAGAACTGTGGAATTATGTTAAAGGACCAAACCTATAATTGATTTGGGTACTTGAAAGAGATGGAGAGAATGGAACCAAGTTGGAAAGCACACTTTAGGATATCATCCAGAAGAACTTCCCCAGCCTAGCAAGACAGGCCAACATTCAAATTCAGGAAATACAGAGAACACCACTAAGATACTCCATGAGAAGATCAACCCCAAGAAACATAATCATCAGATTCTCTAAGGTCGAAATAAAGGAAAAAATGTTAAGGTCAGACAGAGAGAAAGTCCATGTCACCTATAAAGGGAAACCCATCAGACTAACAACTGTGGGAACCCTACAAGCTAGAAGAGATTGGGGGCCAACATTCAACATTCTTAAAAAAAGAATTTCCAATCTAAAATTTCACATCTGGCCAAACTAAGCTTTATAAGTGAAGGAGAAATAAAATCTTCTAGACAAGCAAATGCTGAGGGAATTCATCACAACCAGGCCAGCCTTGCAAGAGCTCCTGAAGGAAGCACACTAAATATGGAAAGGAAAAACCATTACTAGCCACTACAGAAACGCACTGAAGTACACAGACCAATGACACTATGGAGCAACTACATAAACAAGACTGCAAAATAACCTGTTAGCATCATGATAACAAGATCAAATTCACACATAACAATATTAACCTTAAATGCAAATGAGCTAAATGCTTTAATTAAAAAACACAGAATGGCAAGCTGGATAAGGAGTCAAGATCAATCAGTGTGCTGTATTCAAGAGACCCATGATCCAATGCAAAGGCACATATAGACTCAAAATAAAGGGATGGAGGAAAATTTACCAAGCAAATGGAAAACAGAAAAAATTGCAGGGGTTGCAATCCTAGTTTATGATAAAACAGACTTTAAACAAACAAAGATTTAAAAAAAAGACAAAGAAAGGCACTACATAATGGTAAAGGGGTCAAGTCAACAAGAGCTAACAATCTTAAATATATATTGCACCCAATACAGGAGCACCTAGATTCATAAAACAAGTTCTTAGAGATCTAAAAAGAGACCTAGACTCCTACGCAATGGTAATGGGAGACTTTAAAACCCCACTGTCAATATTAGACAGATCATCGAGACAGAAAATTAACAAACATATTTAGGACTTGAACTGAGCTGTGGATCAAGTGGACCTGATAGATATCTACAGAACTCTCCACCCCAAAACAACAGAATATACATTCTTCTCAGCACCACATGGCACTTAATCTAAAGTTGATCACATAATTGGAAATAAAACACTCCCCAGCAAATAAAAAATAATTGAAATCATAACAAATACTCTCTCAGATCACAGCACAATCAAATTAGAACTCAAGATTAAGAAAGTCACTCAAAACCACACAACTACGTGGATTGTAAAACCTTTTCCTGGATGACTTCTGGGTAAGTAATGAATGAAATTAAAACAGAGATAAAGAAGTTCTATGAAACTAATGAGACCAAGGAGACAATGTATCAGAATCTCTGGGACACAACTAAAGCAGTGTTAAGAGGGAAATTTATAGCACTAGATGCCCACATCAAACAGCTAGAGAGATCTCAAATCGACTTCCTAACATCACAACTAAAGGAACTAGAAAGCCAAGAGCAAACAAACCCCAAAGCGAGTAGAAGACAAGAAGTAAGCAAGTTCAGAATGGAACTGAAGGAGATAGAGGCATGAAAAACCTTTTAATAAATCAATGGATTCAGGAGCTGGTTTTCTGAAAGTTAGTAAAATAGACCACTAGCTAGACTAATACAAAAAAAGAGAGAAGAATCAAATGGACACAATAAAAAATGACAAAGGGGATATCTGACTCCACAGAAATACAAACAACCATCAGAGAATACTATAAATACTTCTACGGAAACAAACTAGAAAATCTAGAAGAAACGGACAAATTCCTGGACACCTACACCTTCCCAAGACTAGAACAGAAAGAAATTGAATCCCTGAATAGACCAATAACAAGTTCTGAAATTGAGGAAGTAATAAATTGCCTCCCAACCAAGAAAAGCCCAGGGCCAGATGGATTTATAAGCCCAGGACCAGAGGTACAAAGAACAGCTGATACCCTTTCTTCAGAAACAATTCTAAACAATTGAAAAGGAGGGACTTGTCCCTGACTCCTTTTTTGAAGCCAGCATCATTCTGATACCAAAACCTGAGATACAACAAAAAAAAGAAAACTTCAGGCCGATACCCCTGATAAACACTGATGCAAAAATTCTCAATAAAGTACTGGCAAACAAAATCCAGCAGCACATCAAAAAGCTTATCCACCATGATCAATTTGGCTTTACCCCTGGGGATGCAAGGCTGATTCAACATACACAAATTAATAAACATAATTCATCAAATAAACAGAACTAAAGACAAAAACCACATGTCAGTAGATGCAGAAAAAGGCCTTTAATAAAACTCAAAATCCCTACATGTTAAAAACACTCAATAAACTAGGTATCAAAGGAGCATATCTCAAAATAATTAGAGCCATTTATGAAAAACTGATAGCCAATATCATACAGAAATCTGGAAGCATTCCCCTTGAAAACTGGCACAAGACAAGGATGCCCTCTGTCACCACTCCTATTCAACATAGTATTGGAAGTTCTCAGCAGGGCAATCAGGCAAGAGAAAGAAATAAAGGGTATTCAAGTGGGAAGAGAGAAAGTGAAATTGTCCTTGTTTGCAGATGACATAATCCTGTATCTAGAAAACCCCATTGTCTCAGCCCAAATGCTTCTTAAGCTGATAAGCAACTTCAGGAAATTCTC
Source organism: Homo sapiens (assembly GCF_000001405.40). Lineage (NCBI taxonomy): Eukaryota > Metazoa > Chordata > Mammalia > Primates > Hominidae > Homo > Homo sapiens. Next base: position 56,251,349 of record NC_000010.11, on the reverse strand, counting down.
AGGATACAAAATGAATGGGCAAAAGTCACAAGCATTTCTACACCAACAATGAACAAGCAGAGATCCAAATCATGAATGAAACTCCATTCACAATTGCTACAAAGAGAACAGAATACCTAGGAATACCGATAACAAGGGAAGTAAAGGACCTGTTCAAAGATCTAATATCCAGAATCTACAAGGAACTTAAATTTACAAGAAAAATGAAATAACCCCATTAAAAAGCGGGCAAAGGACATGAACAGACACTTCTCAAAAGAAGACATTTATGCAGCCAAGAAACATGAAAAAAAGCTCAACATCACAAACTACAATGAGATACCATCTCACACACGTCAGAATGGATATTATTAAAGTCAAGAAACAGATGTTGGTGAGGTTGCAGAAAAACAGGAGTGCTTTTACACTGTTGGTGGGACTGTAAACTAGGTGAACCATTGTGGAAGAGGGTGTGGCAATTTCTCAAAGATCTAGAACCAGAAATACCATTTGACTCAGCAATCTCATTACTGGGTATATACCTCCCAAAATATAAATCATTCTAATACAAAGATACATGCATGTGTATGTTCATTGCAGCACTATTCCCAATAGCAAAGACATGAAATCAACACAAATGCCCATCATTGATAGACTGGATAAAGAAAATGTGGTTCATATACATCATGGAATACTAGCAGCCATAAAAAGAAATGAGATCATGTCCTTTGCAGGGACATGGGTGGAGCTCAAAACCATTATCCTCAGGAATCTAATGCAGGAATAGAAAACCAAACTTCGCATGTTCTCACTTATAAGTGGGAGCTGAATAGTGAGAACACATGGAGACAGAGAGGGGAGCAACACACACTGAGGCCTGTCTGGGGTCATGGAAGGGAAAGCATCAGGAAAAATAGCTAATGCATACAGGGCTTAATATCTAGGTGATGGGTTGATAGGTGCAGCAAACCACCATGGCACACATTTACCTATGTAACAAACCTGCATATACTGCACTTGCATCCCAGAACTTAAAATAAAAATAATTTTCTTTTAAAAAAAGATGCCTAATTTTTATTTTATATGCAATTATTATGAGAATTTGAGGAAAAATGTTCCTGTTTCAAATACAATATATATATATTTTTTTCTCCATTTTTCTTAACATAGAATTTATATGGGCCTACTATTATGCATATATTTTTATGTTTTCAGTTATACTTTTGTTAAATACATCTAAAATTAAATGAATTATTTAGGGGAAAACTTAGTTTTAGAAGGTCAATCTTCTCTCTAGTCAGCACTGTCAAATAAAAATATAATGCCAACTGGATATGTAATTTTAAATTTTCTCATAGCATTTACAAAATAGAGTAAGCAACTCTGTATCATGATATGACTAATATTATTAACTGTACAATTACTCACTTCTCACATTCCCCCCACATCCCTGTATCAAAATCTGTTGCCAGGTAGCTTCACAGTTTCTTCCACTGAAGAAGAAAGTATATATTTCCACTCCTTGACTTTTAGATTGGCTATGAAACTTGTTTCAGACAATAGAATGTTCATGGCATGATATGATCAAATGCTTAAAGATTCCTTGTGTATTTAGGATTCTTGCTTTGTACCACCGTCATTTTCAGGGGATGAATATACCTGGGCAACTTGTTTGTCTTTTAAGGAGTATGAGTAGCATGTAAAACAGACACAATTTAAGCCTATATCAGTCAACCTTTAAATAACTTGAAGACTTGTGAGCTAAATAAAGCTTTGTCATATTGCAAAATACTACTAATAATAAATGATAGCTAATCTTATTAAATGCAAACTAATTTTAGTGATAGAAAGTGAGAAAAGTTTTGGGGATGAACAATATGTTCATTCTCTTGATTTTACTGATGGCTTCACAGGTGTGATAATATGTAAACATTTATCAAATTGTACTCTAAAAATGTGCAGTTTGTTTTATGTTAATTCTAGCTCAATAAAACTATTAAAATGCTTATTGTCGTATGTGCAGAGTTTAGGGTGGTTAACCAGCATATTGTGGCCATAGTTTGAATAATTACTTTGTTCTATAAGTAGGAGCTGTACCATATCTTACCTTTGTTACACCATGATGGTTTTAATGCTAAAGGAACATAATACTTTCAGCATAATTTGGAATAATAATATAATTTTCCTATGCCTATTGATATGGTTTGACTACACCCAAATCTCATCTTGAATTACAGTTTCTATAATCCTGACATGTGGTGGGAAAGGCCCAGTAGGAGGTAATTGAATCATGGGGGCAGTTACCCCCATGCTGCTGTTCTTACAAGATCTGATGGTTTTATAAGGGGCTTTTCCCCCTTTTGCTCAGCCCTTCTCCTTCCTGCCATCCTATGAAGAAGGATGTGTTTGCTTCCCCTTCTGCCATAATTATAAGTTTTCTGAGGCTTCCCTAGCCATGTGGAACTGTGAGTCAATAAAACCGCTTTCCTTTATGAATTACTCAGTCTCCGGAAGTCCTATATAGCAGTGTGAGAACATGCTAATGCGCCTATATAAGTAATATTAGATGTCATTTGTTGGTTAAACAAATATTTATAAATTACTAGCTTTGTTCTAGGCTTGGCTCTAGGCACTGGGGAAATAAAGTGAATAAAAAAGTCAAAACACTCACTCTGTCTACATATAACTTAAATTCTCATGGGTAGAAGAAAACAAATATGAGATTAATATTTTATTTTTCTCTCCAAATTTTATTTTAGCTTTAGAGGTCACATGTGCAGGTTTGTTACATGGGCAAATTGCATGTCACAGAGGTATGGTATACATGCAGATTATCTCCTTAATTGGATAATAGGTATAGTATCTTGTGAAAGGAAAATAAATCTTGGTGCGACCAAATCACTAAACTAAAGTAAAAAGTAAAGCTGGGAACTTCTTAGGGCCAACCTACCTCCTATTCTATTCAATATCACCTCTCTGCTCACTGAGATAAATGCATATCTGATTGCCTCTGTTGTAGAGGTTAATCAGAAACTCAAAAGAATGCAACAATTTGTCTCTTATCTACCTATGATCTGGAAGCCTTGTCGTGCTTTGAGTCTTCCTGCCTTTGCTTTGAGATGTTGCACATTTTCAGGCCAAACCAATATTCACCTTGCATATGTTGATTGATGTCTCATGTCTCCCTAGAATGTATAAAAACCAACTGTGCTGTGACTACCTTGGGCATGTGTACTCAGGACCTCCTGAGGTTGTGTCACAGACATGTTTCCTCAACCTTGGCAAAATAAACTTCCTAAGTTAACTGAGACCTGTCGCAAGTTTTCAAGGTTCACAACCATCCTTGCCCTCTTCCAACCCTTCCATGCCAAGTAGGCCCCAGTATCTATTATTCCCTCTTTGTGGGAATTGTATCTTCTTTAGTAGTTGGACAATCAAGATGTCTTCTTACAGCAAAGTTTGAATGAAATTCAAAATATATTTATTGCTCAAGAAACCTTTACTAAGTACCTATTGATACTAAGCAATATAAAGATGAGGAATGATTCAGAGGTATTCATGTCGGAAATATTTAATACATATGCATAAAACCAAAATAAAATAATTTCAATTATTAAAAAAAGAATAATGGCTTCGGACATCTCCAGGAGGTAAATAATTAACTAAAACCTGTGAAAATACGCAGATATGAGGTTGTGGGGGATAGTACTGACAATGATCTCACTTGCACATGCCCCAGTTACAGGCATTCTCATTCACTCTTTAAAAAAAGTATCCAATGTCTTCTAAACACCACATGCTTGTATGTTAAATACAGGCCTTGAATTTCCAGTCTTTAGCCTGTGACAGTATTGTTTAAATGATAATGTATTTAAATTAGTTCTGAGATAATTTCAAGTAGGGGGTACAATCTCAATGACTTATAAAACAAAAACTTATTCATTCTTCATGTAAAACCCATGGCAGAATTCTCAGTTGGGTAGTTTTTGTACCTGCTATCTTTTAGAGAAGCCTAAGGGACCTTGTTTCAATAGTCTCAAAATCCATTCCTAAGCAAATTATTCTAGTTCCCATTGGTACAAATTAGTCACAGCCTGCAGTTATTTGATGAATAATCACTTTCCTCCCATGTGGGGACAGTATTACTTTCATCAGGCTCTGCCATTACCTATCAATCATAGTCTAGAACCAATGAGGAGAGATACAGGCAGGTCTTCAGGGGGGTAAGAATCATCTTTTTAGATTTTCACCTTAAATGAAACTTTTGTATAGTCTTCAGGCCATAGAAACCAGCTATAGTTTAGCAAGAAATAGTAGGAATTTTAATCTCATGGTGTTCATATTAATTTGGGGGCTTAAATTATTATGCATTTATATGTCTGTATTAAAATATCTCATGTACCCCATAAATATATATACCTACCAAGTACCCATAAAAATGGAAATAAAAAAAATTATGGATTTACAGTCTCAAACATATCCAGCACAAATGCACCATCCTAGGCCTCAAAGGTCCTATTTCTTTATTATTTTCCTGACTTTTGAGTTGGAGATCTGCAATAGTTACTAATAATTTTGTCTCCCTTCTAATTCTTGCACATTTAATATGAAATATTTTGCTTGACTTTAAGCACAGTCTGTCCTTCAGTTATGGTCCCATTAAACACTGCTTCTACAGCTATTGCATAAGCTAGTGTGTTCCTAAAATCTATATTCCACCTTGATTCACCACAGGTCAGTTTTAGTAATTCTGATACTATAGCATACGGACATTTATCACTGTTTCCTCTGGGACATGAGATCCTCATTAATATCTGCTCTGGGCCTGGTGGCTCATGACTGTAAACCTAGCACTTTGGCATTTGTGACGGGCAGGTAACTTGAGGTCAGGAGTTTGAGATAAGCCTGGTCAACATGGTAAAACTCCATCTCTACTAAATATTACAAAAATGAGTGGGGCGTGGTGGCAGGCACCTGTAATACCAGCTATTTGGGAGGCTGAGGCAGGAGATTCGCTTGAACCCGGGACATAGAGGTTACAGTGAGCCAAGATCGTGCCACTGCACTCTAGTCTGGGAGACAAAGTGAGCCTTTGTCTCAAAAAATGAAAAATCTGCTCAGAAAGTGATCCATTTCTGGCTGGGCACGGTGGTTCATGCCTGTAATCTCAGCACTTTGGGAGGCCAAGGTGGGCAGACTACCTGAGGTCGGGAGTTCTAGACCAGCCTGACCAACATGGAGAAACCCCGTCTCTACGAAAAATACAAAAATTTGACTAGTTGTGGTGGCACATGCCTGTAATCCCAGCTACTCGGGAGACTGAGGTAGGAGAATCACTTGAACCCTGGAGGCGGAGGTTGCAGTGAGCCGAGATCACGCCATTGCACTCCAGCCTGGGCAACAAGAGCAAAAACTCCGTCTCAAAAAAAAGAAAAAAAAAAAAGAAAGAAAGAAATCCAATTCTGCTAAATCTATGCATGCATGGGTTCTACTTCCTAGGAATATTGGCAGTGTCAACTATTTTAAGATATATTTCCCCAGCTAGAGACTGAAATAAGTTTTTATGTTCCAATCTATAGTTATTTGTAAGGTAAGAGGTAAGTGGAAAAGTGATAAAAGTTTGATGAAAGCCAATGTAGTGTGCTTTGTTTAGCAATTTACAACTCTAATCAATTGAGATTTTTGAATTTGGATTTTGTAGTCACTTTCAGCCAAATGTAATTTTAACTAATAGAATCTGTTGTTTGCTCTCAAGAGCTCTGACTGCTCAGGTACATTTATTGAGTTTTTTTTTTTTTTTTGTGACAGGCACTGTGCTAAGATATTTATATACACTGTTATTTGATCCCTTAATAGTTCAATGGAAGTGCTGTTATCTGCCTTTTACAGAATATGAATTTGAAGCTCAGAGGATTGCCTCAGGTTCCTTAGGTTACACATTTGTTAAGTGACACTACCACATCTTGAATTCATATCTGTCTGAGTAAAAAAAGTCATACCTTGAATACTATAGCAGCTGGTATGTGATTTTTACAATAAAAAAAATTCATGCTTTTATTGAGATGAAATCTGTATTGCTCTAGCTTAGATTCTTTGTGTACATACAATACCATTTACTATTGTACCTCTCTCTCACCTGAAAAGCTTATCAAATACTAGATTGTAGATTGTAAAAATTATATCCCCTAACTCATCACTGTCATTCTACAGGCAAACGAATTATTTAGTTTCTCTGTTTATTGTTGTTGTTATCTAAATATAAGCATGCTTTAAATTGTGTCTTCTAATAACTACTATCTAGAATAAAAAGCAAAATTTCCTACATAGACTTTCTATGTGGTATATCATAGGATGATCACCTCGCCTTTCTGGTGGAATATTTATTAGAATAGACATTGTTTGAAGCTTTATCAACTTTTTAATCATGTTGAATAAATTTAATTTTTAACCTCTTTAATATTAAATACCATTTAACTAGCTTTCTCTATTCTGAATGTGTCATGCTTTAGACTTGAGTGTAGAATCTTGTGGTTAACACTGTTTTATGTTGCAAATATTAACCAGTAGTTTTAGGTCTGCCAATATCTCTTTCAATCTTCATCAAATTTATTCTAGAAGCCACTTGGATTTGTTTGCTAGAGATACAACAAATAAAAGAGAAAACTTCACACCAATATCCGTTATGAATGTGGATGCAAAAATCCTCAACAGAATACCAGAAAACCAAATTCAGCAGCACATGAAAAAGATAATGCACCAAGATCAAATAGCATTTATTCCTGTGATGCAAGGTTGGTTCAACATATGAAAATTAGTAAGTGTGATTCATCACATAAACAGAACTGAAAACAAAAATCACATAATTATTTCAATATATGCAGAAGAGGCTTTCAATAAAATTTTTTTCTATCAGAATGGCTTGGAATGGGAAAAAATAAGAAAGAAGTACCACGTCTGGAAGAAAGTCAGCAAACACACCAAATGTGTTGCCACTTATCATTCTGCTACGGCAGACATTCGTAATCCATCCCTGCACTGGTTCCCACTGAGCTCCTTTTCAGTAACACAATCTTTATCAGCACATTGACCAGAAAGCCACTGCCAGTCAGGGGGTGTTGGTGCCCAAGACATTAAATAGTTTTCTTACTTCAGCACATAATAGGAAATTTGACTTCATTGTAAAGCTGTAATGTATCAAAAATATTCCCCACCCTGTGTCCAAGTGCTCTCACATGTACCCTAGAACTTAAAGTATAATTTAAAAAACAAATACATATATATAATATATATATTACTATTCTCGGCAATAAAGCTTTAGTAAGGACTATACTTCTTTCCCATCTGCCACAAAAAGAAAGCAGAACGTCATGTAAATTTAGAAGTGCCGGCATCTTCTTTCTTGAAAAATTGTAATGATATTGATTATTAACAATAATTGATTTAGGGACAATTTACTATTTCAAGCTTTGTGCTAAGTAATTAATTTCATGGATTATCTCAAGTTTTATTCACAAGGCTATTATGAGAGAGATATCCTCATTTACAGATGAGAAAACCTAAATAAGATAAATTATTTGACTTGTTAAATATAGTATAGACATTGAGTAGTGGAACCATGATATAAACCTGTGCAGTCTGAATGTAAAGCTTTCATTCTTAAAATTTATTGGTTTTATTGACAATGACTAATCTGAAAATACACACCCTGATTAAGTTTTAAGTCTCCCTCTCCCTGTCTGTGTTGTGTGTGTGTGTGTGTGTGTGTGTGTATATAATACATCTATTTATAGATGTACTATAGATGTATTATATATAATATACACACATGCATATATTTATATATGTATTATATGTATATATGTATATGTGTATATAAAAATATATGTATTTATATATGTATTATATATTATATATAATACATATATACATATGCATTATATATTATATATAATACATATATACATATGCATTATTATATATAATACATATATACATATGCATAATATATTATATATAATACATATATACATATGCATACTATACATACATACTATAATACATGCAATATAAATATAAATGTGTTTATAATAATATACTTATACATACTATATATACAAACAACATATAATACATACAATATAAATAGATATTATATATAATACATATATAAAATATATGTATAAATATATGTACACATATAAATATATAATACATACATATATGTGTATATATTATATATAATACATATATAAATATACATATTTATATATATTTGTATATATTTATTTACATATTTGTGTATTTAACTGTGCGTGTGTTTTTGTATATTATATATAATACATATATTGGGTGTTTTTGTGTATATTATATATAATACAATATATATTTTTGTATATATTTTGTGCATATTATATATACAATATACATAAAAACACACACACAGTTAAATCTCTTAAATTTAATATATTTTTTAAAAGTCCTGGCTGGGGCTGGGCGTGGTGGTTCACGCCTGTAATCCCAGCACTTTGGGAGGCCGAAGTGGGCAGATCATGAGGTCAGGAGTTTGAGACCAGCCTGACCAACATGGTGAAACCCCGTCTCTACTAAAAATACAAAAGGTACCCGGGCATGGTGGTGAGTACCTGTAATCTCAGCTACTCAGGAGGCTGAGGCAGGAGAATCACTTGAACCCAGAGGTGGAGGTTGCAGACAGCTGAGATCGAGTCACTGCACTCCAGCCTGGCGACAGAGAGAGACCCTGTCTAAAAAAAAAAAAAGTTCTTTAAGTGAAAAAAACAAAACAAAACAAAATAAAAACCTTTAACCTGAATTTTATAATGCAGAATTGGACAAGCAAAACAAAACAAATACAAAGAACTACAGAGATGAAATTCTTCATTAGTGTCTAATCTCAAAAGTGCTGTTTTCTAAACAAGATTATGAATGCTGGAGCTCTGCTCAATAAAACATTTAATAGGCCAAGTTGACTGATGCCACACTCATAATAACCTTCACACAAAACATGCCACACAAGAAAAAAGCTAAATAAAATGGACTTTAAGACTTCCATACAAACAAATCAAACAAGAGATCTAAAAAGAAGTGGCAAGATCATAGAGTGAAAACATCTCTTATTTATATTTGTGAACAAGTAAAGTAGGCTTCACATGAAGAGATGTTTTCAAATAAGGAATAAAAAAAGAAAAATGATAATTAATGACTATTACGCTTTTAGATTTTTATCTCACACAAAAAGGGTCAGCCATGGGGATCTGAGCACAAATTGAAAGTTTGCCAATCCACAGAATTAATCTTAAATTTCAATTTGAAGTAATTATCATTTATATTCATTCTGAGTCATTGAAGGCATTAACTTTAAGAGAGATCGTGAATACTGGATTTCAATGTTATTCCTTTTGGGAAATGTCAGGTTAAGAAAGAGCTTAAAATGGGCAACATTTGATTTGCTTCTTGAATCAAACTTTTTTTGTTAATCCCATAAATGGGTAAAACTGCTAGAAAAAAATATTATATTATGAATGACAGGTAACAAAAGTGGCAAATAATAAATAAGAAATGACACAACCTAATATCTTTAATTGACATCTATTTTTTTTTCCAAAATGCTTTCTATTCTTCAAAAAAAGCAACAGCCACATTGGTTTGATGGCTATTTTACCATGCTGACCCTTGTCTTTCAAAACACACACACACACACACACACACACACACACACACACGCACACATTTTGGGAGGAAATACTTAGTTTTGACCATTGATTTGATACAATTCGGTGGGACAGAAATATTAGTAATTTGGTATCACTTGTCATTCTAAAAGAAAGTGTTATTTTCTCAGAGGATAAAAAAAATATTTCTAAATCTGTTTCTAAAGCTATGAAAGAGCAAGCTCAGAGCCTTAAGTTCAGACTGATGCAAGAGGCTAGCATCTAAAGCCAAAGTGATGACTTCTTATTGGAATGGCATAAACTAAAATAGGTAATCATTGAAAAACATCGGCTTTTTTGGAATAAGCCTTTATTTGGGGTGCATGCAATGCTTAGAGACTTGATATATCCTTTTACATAGTTTAAGAATACAGAGAATACAGAAAAGAATACAGAAAAGATGTGAAAGGGATAATGCAGAAAGGCTTTTTGGAGCCAAGAGTGGTGTAACAGCTAGATATGTTTGACTATTGTCAGACATTCTACCTATTTGTGGGATTAACAAAAAAAAGTTGATTTCAAGAAGCAAAGCAAGTGTTCTCTGTTATCCTCCAAGTGTCCTGCGGCTTTGTGTCTTAGGAGCGTATTTATTTTACCCATTCATCCCTACCCAGGCTATTTTCCTGGATTTTAGTAGTATACATTAATTTCTCCCCACATCTATGTACTGCTAGTCTTCTTGTAAATTACCTTTTAATGATATGGAGTTGTTTACAAGGTGCTTGGATTAAACTTAAAGATTTAAGACTTGGTTACTAGAATTCTTCAGGTCATCACTAGTGCCTACCAAAGGCTGGCAGACTCGTAAGTACACAAAGTCCAGAGAAACCATTTTAGCAAAGGTATGAATTTGGAACTTGATTAACAGCACATTTTTTAAAGCAAAGTAGACATCTGAGATCACCTCAGATTGGGCAATATCTTGGAACTCTAATAATCAAATAAGTTGAACATGATCAAGATGCTGTGTTTCAAAAAAAAATTGTTTGCTGTTACATACAGCAGTCCCAAGACACTACTACACTTCAGGATATAGTTCCAGCCCTTGTTGAATTGCTTTTCGTAGATTCTGCCGCTTGAGAAACTGAAACTAGAGAGTTTTCCCCAAGTCAAATGCAAAGAAAATACGTTTTTGCTTTTCGCCATTTGACACACCAACCTTGCTCTTCATTTTGGATCTTCTTTCTTGCTTGTATTGTCTCCATTCTCTGTGGTATTCTTATCTTGCATTTAAAATTCCCAGCTGCAGACCAGTTTTTAGGAGAAAGCTGAACTCTGTGTCTCTGAATTTCCAATTTCCTTTTCTTTCCCTTACGGATATCATTTGTGGTGAGGAGGACAGGCAAGGGCATTTTTAATAGTATTCATTAAAGTGGATTACTTTCTAGATGACAATTTAAATAAAATTATTTCATTTACATGAATACCTAGTTTAGTTGCTGGATTATGAATATGAATAGAATGGTGCTTTATCTAAGAAGGTGAATGCCCTATAATGCAGAATGGAGAAATTCTGTTGTAATGCTGTCTTTCATTTAAGGTCTGGAAGTAGTGGTCTTAAAAATAAAAACAGATTGAGTGCAGCTAGTCTGTCTAAGTGGCATGTTGGATAGTAGATGAGGCTACCTAGCTGCACATTTTCTCTTCTAATGTTGATGCCAAAACCAGTTTTATTTTAGTGTGACACATCCTTTTTTCTTGTAACTGAGAACCTGGGATCTTATTTATGAAGATGAAGACCATTATTCTGCCCAGTACTTTGTGATTATCTTTTACTGACATTTCGCTTTTCCTATGTTTATATCATTAGTATCCAAACCAATTTTGAAGTTTATAGCCTCTATACATGTTTTCTTTATTATAATCTCTCCCTACACCTAGAAAGGTGGTTTTTAAATCATAGATATTGATAAATTTATTTGTTGCTTGAGTATACATTTTCTGTTTCTAGGAAAAATGTATCTTCTTTCCTAAATGCTACTTCTGGATTAAATGTCCCTATATTCATATACTTTTGGCATTGAATATTCTATGAAACCCTTATATTTCAGAACAAACTAGTATTTTGTTCTAATAGAATAAGATCAGTTGTGTAATGTCTAGACTCTGAAATTTACCCCAAAATTGAGTAATCCTTTATTGTCCTTTGCTGTGGAAATATCTGTTGACAATAATATCAGTGATCTATAAAGTGTAAGTTGAGAGGGATTTGGCTAGGATAATAAAATTTCACCCTTTTAAATAATATTATAAATATCATACACATCATTTGGCCTTACAATCTTAATTGATTTAATTCTGTATCTGAGGACCATTTTAGATTTTGTGCTGATTTTTCTAATGGGCATTCATCTACTCTTAAAGTTTGACTTAAAATGTAACTTGGTGTTATCCCTAAATTTAAAGTAACCTAATAAAGTAACCTGAAATATGAATATAAATAGAACAGTGCTTTATCAAAGAAGGTGAATGCCCTATAATACAGAATGGTGAAATTCTATTGTAATGCTCTCTTTCATTTAAAGTCTCGGAGTAGTGGTCTTAAAAATAAAAACAGATTGAGTGCAGGTTTTAGCAAAGGTATGAATTTGGAACTTGTACATAATTAATTTAGTAAATATTGTGTTTTATTTGGAACTAAGTATATAATTCATTTTCAAGAATTGTAAGATTGTAATTTTGTGTAAACTTGTAAGATTGTGTCTTACAAGACACAATCTGTAGAATTGTCTCTACTGAGGCTTCATCAACTTTCATCAGATCAACTGAACACTTAATTTATAATGCAAAACAGTAATTCCATCATATAGCTATCTAACAAGAATCATCACCACTCTATATGACATAATGGATTCTAGATTTGGTTAAATACACAGGCCATAATGATTACCTAGAAATATAACCTCTCCGAAGATTACTTCTAATGGTACTTGGATAGTGTCGTGAAATCAGGTCTGTATAAGATAGGCTTTGTCACAAAACAGAATAGTATATTGACCCCAAAGCCTGCACATTGTTTTAAGTTTTTCTATTATATTTGAATAACCTATACATACAATATAATATGATCATTCAGAGAGCAACATTCAGTTTTGGTCCACACAAGAAATTATTTTCTGCAAGTGTGTTACCCTTCCAGCCACTCCTTTCCTGAATAATGGGTGACTTTTTAACCTCCAGCATTCATATTAAGCACTAATTTTACCCCATTCCCTTGTATTTCTGTAAAAATGAAGTCAAATGAACTATTTGTTTTTTATTTCCACACTTGGTAACTAAGTTAAGTGCTCACAAGATGAATGTAACTGACTTGCTAGCTGTTTTAGAATATGGAAGAGAAAACAAATTCTCAAATTCATTTCCAACATTATTTCCCCTGCCCTGATTAGTTTTGAGGACTTCCTACAGTGTCATGCCACACCCAGGATGTATAGCTTTTAAGAGCAGCATAGATGAGAGTCCGCAGGAAAAGGGGAATACTGTAAGTAAAATCATGTTGATTATCAAATGAATCATGAATCACTATTTAATAATCTGTTTTCGAGATGTAAGTTTGTACTGACTTTAATATGAGCTATAATATATAAATTGAGCAATGAAATATATTAGTCAAGTCTGGTGGAAGCTAAAACCTTTCAAACCTGGAAGTGGTTTACATATAATAGATTCCTTCTACTGAAGTTAAGATGACTCCTGCTAAAGAAACATGCTTCCAGAACAAAAACGACCAATTCTAAAAAAAGAATCTATATGCATGAAAGTCAAAAGATGCACATTTCTAATTATTTTTCTTATGTTTTGAAGATTGTCCTAAAGCCTCATGTGTTCCAGTAACATCTAGATTTCTCAGAATGCATGAGAATCTTGCAGATTATTGTACAGCAAGAACTTACAAAAAACAGACAGGATCTCTCAAGACAAATAGTAAAGATTGCAACAAGCTCTGCTTTTTGTGATAAAAGTACTTTATACATGTTAGATTTGTATGCCTTTTGCCCAGTTGAAAACAAAAGTACTCTCAATCTCTCCTATCTCCACTGCCCACCTCAACACACATACAGAGGCCAAACCTGCTGTTTATAAGAAGGAAAATATGAAGGATGACAGAATCCTTAGTTGTTATTTTAAATTTAGACCTTGCTAAATCTAGTAAAATTCTCTCTAGGTAAGTCTTGGTACAGACATTACTTGATCACCATGGCATGCCGAGCACTTTATGGTCAATCAAATATCTTAAAATATTGATAAACAAATGGTTTTTATCTTAACTACAGAAACACAGGAACCATTGCTTTGGAAGAGAAAGAAGATAGGATAGGAAAGGGTCATAGATCCTTCACAGTCATATTATAATTGCAGGATTTATGACTTATGGGTAATCAATAAAATTTGCTCAGTTTTGGAGTTAATGAGATACCATACCAGGCAGTAAAATTATATGTAAATAAGAAAAAGATCCAAAATGTTAAAGCTGAAAAGATAGCATAACAGCTAAATAAGAGAGACACAAGAAAGCAGATTGAAAAACTAGAGAAAGAAATGATAGAATAAGGTTCAAACAAATAAAACACAATATTCACTAATTCAATGAATATTGAATTCCAACATCTTCAGGAGTATTTCTTTCATGTATAGCATGAATTATATCTCTGGTCCCTGGGCCAGTTATTAAAGGGGTGAACCACATCAACTCATGAAATAGTAGAGAAGCATAGCAGCTTTAAGGACCAATGGCTCTTTCTCAACTTATCCAGCCAGGAGTCTCTCCATGTGATGGGGACATGAAGGCAGGTATGATTTCAGGCATGCAGGAAATTAATAAATAAGTTATTTAATTTGAGCTATGTTATAATGACTATTATAAAATGCTTTATCCATGTGCGTATTAATGAAACAGTGACTTTAAATATGACTATTTTCTACTTTATACACCTCCCACTCTATGTTTTTGACATTTTTAAGCTATCACCTGAAGATTCATTTCGTTCACTTACTATCAGCACCAAAGAATTGCCCTCTTTGATGTACTTCACAGATTAAACTTTCTGAATTTTGCTTTTCATACACAGTAACCTCATGTTCCATTCTTAAAGTTCTTGGAAAAATCTAATTTTTCAGTCAATAAGAGTATATATTCCTTACCTCACAAAGTGTGTTTTCTCTAGAAAATGTAAAATTAGGATGTGGAAATTAGATTATTTAATAAACTATTAAAATCCATGGAATATGTATGTTAAGCAGTAGGGCTCTTTGGAAGCCATCAAGTCACACTACATAATAAGCTTCCTCTATGAAACTAATTCTGCTTACCTCCCCTGTAAGAGGATTACATTCTTCTTACTAAAATCACTCCCTGTGAATTATTTTGAAAGTATATCTTGAAAATAATAATCTATTACCTAATCATCATTAATTAGGAGTATTTACATCCCATGAACCCCTAATGTAATAAAATGCATCATGATTTTTTTTCTAAATGTTTAATGTCTCAAATTTCCAATACAATTTGTATCCCAGGAATGCTAAGATTTAAAAATTAGGCTACAAGCAGACTACCAAAACTCTGGGAAATAGTATGGCATGTAGGGTAGTAACATTTCATGAGGGATCTAAGAAAACAGACAGAAATTTCAATGGACGAAAACACTAAATACCTGAATGACCTACCACACGTATTCAAAAACACTATAAACTCTGTGTTTCAGCATTAAAATATGGCTTTAGTTTGTCATTTCTAACTTTTCATCCCATCCTTTCTTCACTCTACTCCCTTGCAATCAGTTGATGTTATTGGATATTTTCAACTTTAAAATAGAAATGCAGTTTGGAAGTAAAACAATAATGAAAGACTCTACAAGCACTGCAGAGTCAACCTAGGAACCAAAATTAAATTGAGTTTTTTCTACATATTGCCACTAAAAAAACTACTATCAGAACTTTTTAAAAAATTGCTGAAGATGCAAGATGGAAAATGGAATCCATACTTTTCAGAAAATATATTAGCTCTCTGTTATGAGCAAGCTGAGTCCTCAAACCAAACTATATCCTTGATTCTATAGAGGACTGCCTGACTGTCTAAAATGGGGAAATATATAAAATCAGGAGAGACAGATATGTTCTCATTTTAGTATTTTTCCACTGTTTGACTACAATTTATATACATATTTGTTGATTTACGGTTGTTAGTCTACATATTTTTTCTACCTAAAAATAAGTAAATAAAAATGTTAAACATCTGAATGACTGGCACAATACACAGATACAGTCTACATATGATAAGCTATTTATTCATATTTCACTAATCTGTGTGTTTCTTTACTATTACTAAACGCAAGAGTATGATTTTTATATATTCCATCAGGTTAGAACTCTTTAATATATTTTAGAGAATATCCTAACCTGCAATATTTAGAAATAAAGGGAAATTTAGTGAAATACAATTTCCTATGTTATTGTTTAGTAAGAAAAAAAGTTATAGTGAACTAGGTAAAAGTAAACAGTAATTGATGTGTATATATATACACAAGACAAAGAAAAAAATCCTTAAGAACATTATGGGGAGAGAAAAAAGAGAACAATCCAGTCCTAGCATCATACTTTTAGCAGGAAAAATATCAACAAGTGATCTCTGATTCATTTGTACTGAATATCTTTTATTGTAATGGATTTATGTCTCCTCCAAAATTATTTAAAAAATACTTACATAGGCATTTAGAAGTGTTTCATTGAGGGGGCATAGGTCAGAGAACAAATAAGGAGGTAAACTTCATTTACCCTTTTGTCATCTTATCTCTCAGTGCATCTATTTATCCAACTATCCACCTTACAGGTTTTCACCCTGGAATGTTTCCAGAGTTTCTTCCTATGAGGGCAATAATGATATACTTTTTTGTTATCATTTATTTCTCTGATATATACCTAACTCTTAATTGTGAGGCTTTCATGGTGCTAAGAGATTTAAACCTAAGTCTGAGCAAGGTTGATGTCCAGGCAGGATTTAAACAGAAATTTGAGAGGTATTTCAACAATCTTAATGTTAGAATGTCAAACATGAATGCAAAGATAACAAGCATTAGCTGTTGGACCTAGAGATGAAATCATCCCGGATTAGGATGCACCCTAAAACCAATGACAAGTTTTCTTAAAGAGAAGGGAAGGAGACAAAAAACAAAGAGTAGAAGACCACATGAAGACAGAGGCAGAAATTAGTGTTATGTTGCCATAAGCCAAAGAACTCTTAGAGCCACCAGAGCCTAGAAAAGGCAGAAATAATTCTCCCCTAGAGTCTTTGAAGAAAGAGTAGCCCTGTCAATAATTTAATTTTACATTTCCAGGCCCCAGAACTATGGGAGAACATGTTTTTGTTATTTTAAGCAGCCAATTTTTCATAATTTGTTAGAAAGTTCTAGAATGCTAATATAAAGACCTACCTCTCTTATACAATAACAGCCAAAAAGAACATTTCTCAGATTCTCAAATGAGAGCATATCTGTCATTGCGCTTGGATACCCATCAACTAAAGACTATCCTAGATGGTGTATTTCTAGTGTTTTATGCAAGAGATACCTGAACGTAGGTACTGATAGTGGAAATGGAGATAACTGGGCACTATTTAGCAGGAAGAAGTAGTAGGATTCAGTGATTGTTAAGGTGCCAGTGGTTAAGGAAGAGGGAGAGAGCAAGGATGACTGTCAGATATCCGCATTCATGAAAATCAGATATACAGCATAAGCAAATTATATATCTATTACTCAGTGTGTCAGTAACGGATTAATATTAAAACAAAAGATAAATTATGTGCTGATGGTGGAATTTCACACCCCATCAAATATTAAATTTGGGGAATATTTAAGAAAAATAGTAATGGCTACGCTTTGAGCCATTTGGTTTAACAGTTGCATTCTTTTCATGTCACTTTAGAGTTGTATAATAATATTTTACTTTATCTCTGCAGCAATGATCTGAGTACAGATATTTTATTTTACATTTGAAAATCCCATTGTATTTTATCATTTTTGTGGCTGAGAATTAAGAATTCATTGCTGTCATTAATATAATAAAAGTTATTTCTCTTCACAGAGTCACATCTTTGCTTCTATCACATTCCCGTGCATTTAACACACAAGAGAACACTTCTAAAGAATGTTGTACATCTGACCCTTATTTCAGAACATTCACGTATGCACAATACAGACGTAAAACACAGGTTCCTTGTTTCAGGCATTGAGGCCAGCCTTAAAAGCAAGTGAAACCAAATTTAAAATTAGAGTCCTATTAAAAGGTCCAGATAAAATCTAGCTAATAATTACAGGATGGCATCAGTTTGCTAAGCTCGTCAAGAATCCTGTTGGTGTAGAAAATGAATGAAGGGTGACTCCCCAAGAAAGTACTTGGTGACTATGATTCTCTTATCTGATCAAGTCATTAAACAAGAACAAAAATGATGTGAAGTATTACAATGCAAGCTTGAAAAACAAAACAAAGTCAGACATTTTCCTCAGAGAATCAATATGATGGAAAAGCTGTTCTACTTCGCCCAATAATGATTCTTAAGTCCCATGAGTCTGCACTTGTCCTGCTCTTGTTATACATATTCATTTCACTTCTCAATTTTTTTTTCCTTCAGAAATTTGCCAGTGCCTCCCCAAGGTGAAATTAGGTGCATTTCCCACTTACTAAACCCTAAAAAAAATCACTTGCCATTTTCATTTTATTATTACCAGTGTTGTCTTTGCTTCTAAAGTGAAAGTGTCTCTATGGCAGGGCATCTGTTTTCACTCCTGTATTTCAAATTCCTAGCATAATACCTCATATTCATTGGCCAGTCAATAAGTGTTTCCTAATTTGCCTTAAAGACAAACTTCAATCTCATTTTATGAGATGGTCTAATTCCATTCCTTTTCACTCATAAATCTAAATTCTTTATGCTTCTGGTTCATTCTCAATCTATTCTTAGAAACTACTCAAACTCAAGATTGTTTTTTCTCCTCTAGTCTCCTAAAGTCAGTTACAGAAACCTTAAGTCTTCATTTTTTCAAGACAATATCAAGTTTATATGTTTGCTACCTTTACAAAAAACGAACCATCCTGATTCTTAATCTTTGTCTGATATTGTATTACACAAAAATATCTAGATGGATTTTACTAAATTTGAGATTGGTTGATTTAAAATATTGACTACATAGCAAGTATTAATAAAAGAAAAAATATTCGGAGGCTCTGGAGGGAATTAAAGGATATATATACACACCTACATATATAATAAGCAAACATATATATAATAATACATATGTATATAGTAATAACTAATATAGTAATAACATATACATATATACAATAATACATATATACTTCTATATGTATATATGTACAATAATATATATGTATTATTGTATTATATCTCCAAACAACTGTAGGTACTTTTTTGTGAAGAGTGACAAGTGGGCAACTCTGAGTGTAGTAGTTCCCACTTATCCACAGGAGATATGTTCCAAGACTCCCAGTGGAGGTCTGAAATTATAGATAGTACTGAACCCTGTATATACTTTGCTTTTTCCTATACATAGATACCCATAATAAAGTTTCATTTAATTAAAATGAAGTTAATCTGGTTCAAAACATTGCTGTCAATCACATTTTCTATCCATGTCTTCTATCCACAAATATAATGCCTTTTTCATCTTATCTCAGCACTTACAGTTTTCCAGTTTGAGACTTAGCAACAAAACCAGCACAAATTTCTTTTTTCTTCACAATTTCATGGACAATATTTCCTCTTGTTCCAGATCTTAGGAACCTCAGCATACATTTTCTTTTCTTTCTTGTCAAGAATTTTCACCGTTTCAGTTAAAGAAAAGTATTTTATGGCTTCTTTTTGACATATGTGAATTGCCAGCATCACTTCTCTTACACTTTGGGGCCAGGAGTAGGTAAAATAAGGGCCACTTACACAAGCACTAGGATACAGTGGCAGTGGATCCAATAGCCCAGAAGGCTACTATGTGACTAAGGGGCGAAGAATGTGGACAGTGTTGACACACTGAACTGAAGGAGAATTCGCATCCTGGGCAAGACAGAATGAGGCGGCATGAGATTTTATCATGCTACTCAGAACAGCATGCAATTTAAAGGTTAAGATTTATTTCTGGAATTTTCTATTTAATATTTTCGGACTGTAGCTGACCAGGGAAACTGAAACCACAGAAAGCAAAAGTGTGGATAAGGGGGTCTATTGCAGCGTATTTTAGGGTAAGCTATGGCAGGATTTCCTTATTACAGAAAGGAAAAAGATGAAACCAGCTGGAGAAGCCAGCTTATTTTCACTAGTAAGATAGATATTCTACATAGACTGAATTTCTCCATGGATTTTTTTTATCCTTGGATTATCACTGCCAAAAAGAGTGATGACACAGCACCAAGTATATCGTTGATGATCATTTGCTAATGGCTAATTTGTGACCTATTTGCAGGTCGGAGTACTGAGTTTGAAAGAAGATAAGTTACACTTCTACCATATATTCACAAAGATATAGTCATAATTTAAATTCAGGTCTCTCTAAATTAAGCTTAAAACATCACTTTGTAGCCAATATAGTTTGCAGCAGATGATTTAAGATGAGTTAACCTAGAAAATAAACAGAATAAAACATCAGATAAAAGCACCTGTCACCCAAAATTTGTTTTGGAAAAGACAGAAACTTTTTTAATGAGAACTTTTATTTTGTCATCTGTTTTTTTTTTTTTTCGCTGAATATATGCTACCTCTAATACTATATTTTTTCAACATGTCCTTCTCAATTTGTTTGATATCTTCTTAAAGGTTTGTCTTGTCTAATTTCTTTTTAAACCATCTCAGAGTTTTCTTTCCTATTAAATTCCAGCGTTATTGATTGATTGCATGGGTGTCCAACTGCAGTTAGCAGTATTTTTAGAAATAAAACAACTTGTGACTAAAGTTTTAGAAATTATATGCTTAACCATTCATATCTTATTCTTGATCTTAGGGAAAAGCATTTAATATTTCACCCTTAAGTGTGATGTTATCTGTGGATTTTATGTAACTACTTTTTATGTTGAGGAAACAGACTTCTGTCCCTAATTAATTGAGTGTGTTTATCACAAAATAGAATTATTGGTTTTGTAAAACACTTTTTTCAGTGTGTATTGGGATGATCTTTTTTGTCATTTCTTCTATTAATATGATATATTTAATTAGTTGATCTTAAGAGGTTAAATCAACCTTGGGATATATTATAATTTTCATGTTGTAAAATTCTTTTTATATTGTTGAACATGTTTTCATCAATATTAATAAGATACATTGGCCTGTAGTTTTTGTTTCTTTTGATGTCTTTTTTTGGTTTTGGTATCAGAATAATCCAGAACTCATTACTTTTTAGTCTTTATGAAATACTTTATTAGATTCAGATTTAGGGTAAGGCAAATTAGGCACTTGACTTGGGTGCAAATTTTAAAGGATTGCCAAAATACTTAGTAATCCAGATAAATATTAAAATGTAGTATTCTGAAATACCAAAATTAATGCAAAAATTTATAATAAACAAAATAGCAAGCTAAAATAAAGATAAATCCAATTTTTGTTTTCCTTTTCCTAATTCTCTAATATGACTCACGTAGCATTGGTCTCCTCTTCCATGTCCACATTTCCACACAAAGGGATAAAGATGTGAGATATCAGTCTTACATCTTGTTTGTTTGCTCTAAGTGGCTGAAATTGGGTGGTGCTTCAGAATAATGCCAGTTTTAAAATTCTATAATTGCTATAAAAATTTTAGTTCTAGTCTGACTAGGGCTAGCATGTTAGTATGCTCAGCACCCTTGCCATATGATACCCTTTGCTATCATGGGACTCTTCAGAGAGTCCCTTCCAGCAAGAAGGTTCTCACCAGATGGGCCCCCTCAACCTAGGACTTCCTAGCCTCCACAGCCATAAGAAATAAATTGCAATTCTTCATTAATTACCCAGTTTCATGTATCTGCTATAAGAAAGAGAAAATGAACTAAAACAGAAAGACATAAAAAATTATAGGCCAAACATGCTTGTGGAAATATGCTCATGAAACTATTGAAAGCAGCACATAAAAAATGAGATGCTTGTATCTTACAAGAAATTTTATCATATTTATAATTAGTTGTACATTGAAGCAATAGATGTTTTTAAAGATGAAAAGAAAAGGAGTATAATCATTTTCTGGACAAAGACAAAAATAAACTCAACATATTATCATATTTAAATCTTATCTACCAATTAATCTTCCACAAAGACCAATATCAGCTTTGCCATGATGTTGCCTCCTATTCTGTCAAAACAGCTGGGGAAAAAAAGAATTTACTGTAGTAAACTCTAATAAGGGTGTTTATACGCATAGAAAAAAGTGGAGTGAATTTTTAAGCACATTCTAAACATGGTGAATGGCCTATCTTATGTCAAGATAGAGACCACTCTTATTGAACATAAGATGAACAAGGAGAAAAAAATGGCTTCAGATAATCACAGGATGGTATATGTCATTATTGCTTTACTCATTCATACTGAAGAATCACACTCCAGGCAAATTTAAGAGATACGGTATGTATGGATTAATATAAGAAACATTTCTCAATTGTCAGTTAATGACAAAAGGTGTTTATTTCATACTGAGAATTGAATATGTAGAGATTTAAATATCTTGTCTTTCTAGAAGTCTCCATTGAAAAATTATGTAAGCAATGCGAATCATGGATAAATACAATTAGACATATCTCCCTTGATGTTACAAATCAAAACTAAGACAAGAGCCAGATAATTAAAGTGTTTGTTCCCTTAACCATTATAAATTAGATTTTCAAGGATACATAATCTGTTTTCCAAAATAAAATTAATTCATAATGACATTACCAAGCAGCCTCTCTTTATATTTTCATTTATTTAGAAAATATTTTTGACTGAGTATTATTATCAATTGAAAATGTCAAAAACAATTTCTTAACTAGAAATGCCATGTATATTTTAGCTCCTTACCTGCAAATAGCATGTATATATGTTAGTTTCTAAAATTAACTCAGATAATTTATATAGATAATATGGATATAATAGTTTAGTTCTTAGATGAGTTATACTGGAAAACAGCAATTAAATTTTGAATAATTCAGAAATGCATAATATAAAAAGTCACAGTTGTCAGAGACATAAAGGTCATGGTTCATGACTGAAATTATATTGTCCCAGAAATAAATTGGTAAATCAGTATTAACATAAAAATATAACATAAAAAATACTCATGTACTCCTAACTTCCAACAGTGTGATATTGTGTTTGCATAGGTGGTGAGTTTAGTATAAATGTTGAACATGAATCTAGGATCAGTTCACATAGAAAATTAAAAGAAAATTATAATTTTAACTCATTTGCTATTGCTGTCATTCTGTCCTGTCAGGTTAGAGGAATTATACTTCTATATTTTTAGCCAAGTTTCTGTGATGTTGCAGAATTAATGATTTTTAATAAATATTTTTTCCAGAAATAAGATTTATGTACAACTATAACTTAACTGTGAGCAGGGGCCTCACTGTCAATCCTTATCTGAGAAAATTATATCCAGTCTATTCTCTGAAACTCAGCATCATGGCCTGAGGTAGACCACACAGACTTCCCAAGATTTCAGCAAATTCCCATTGGATTTTCACCATCCAATGGGAAGGTGCAACTTTCACCTCAAAACATATTACTTCTTTCTTTCCAGTTTAGCCAGCAACATGATTCATCTTTTATATGACAATATATGAGAGATTTTGTAACTTGTGTACAAAAGTGATTAAAAATTATTAAATATGTACCCATTTTCAGGTAATGAAAACAACTTCAAATACAATAATATTCTTAACTTGTATCAATATTCACTTAGCCCAGTCTTCAGCTCACCTAGTTCAAGCTATTATCTATCTGAACTCCACACCCTTTATCTTCTCTGTTACTCACAATCTCTGAAGGGAAGTAAGTCTTCAATCTTCACCTTATTTAAGTGCAGAATAAGTTCATCCTGTTTTGTCTCGGACAGTAATTTGTTTGCAAGAATCAGAATTGTATGGGGATGGTCTTTCAGACACCACAGATCTAGGCTAAGTTAAATCGGAAGATCTTCCAAACCTACATTAATGTAAGTTCTCTAAATAGTTAAGTTTAGAACTGTCTAGATAAACAATTTACACTACACTCAACAAAATGCTTTCAGGAATGGATGCTTTGGCACTATGAACAAAACATGAGTCTTATGAAGAATGTGAATTCAACTTTTTGATTAAATGCATGGGCATCATTTTAGAACTGTACATTATTTAACATTTTTTAATTGTTAATGCCTGATGACTAAAATGTATGTTCCATGAAGGCAATATTTTTAACCTTTTTAAAAAGTTATAAGTCCTCTTTCCTAGAACAGTGATAAGTGCATGAATACATAATAAATATTTGTTAAATGAATCTACATGCAGAAGTTAAATATTTTATGGTTAGACCAAATAATAGCCTTCAACCATTTTTATGGTTATATCGAATAATAGTTCTTTCCTGAATGCAAAGAGGGTAATAAGAAAGAGGTGTTATCAATGATAAAATAATTATTCCAGCTTTGGATATTGGGAGATGATGTGGTTTGGATCTGTGTCCCAACCCAAATTTCATGATCAACTGTAATTTCCAGTGTTGGAACTGGGGCTTGGTAGGAGGTGATTGGATCATGGGGGTAGTTTCTCAAGGTTTAACACCATCCATCCCCCTTGGTGCTGTCATCACAATAGTGAGTTCATGAAATTTGGTTGTTTAAAAGTGTGCAGCACCTGCCCCCATCTCTCTTCCTCCTGCTCCAGCCATATGAAGATACTTGCTCTGGCTTTGTCTTCTACTATGACTAAAAGCCCCCTGAGGCCTCCCCAGAAGCAGATGCTTCCACGCTTCCCGTACATTTTGTGGAACCATGAGCCAATTAAACCTCTTTTCTTTATAAATGAGCCAGTCTCAGGTATTTCTTTATATAGTCGTGAAACCAAATACAGGAGCTCTTTAAGAGTGGCTTCTATGATCCTTGTTATGATTATATCCTTATATTTATTTTTTCTGATCATTTCTTCAAGTAATCATAACATGTTTCAAGGTCACCTTGTAACTCATATTGTCTCTGCTCTGGTCTTGGAATCAACATGTTCTTGGCAGAGGTCTGATTTATTTGATTGCAAATTGGTATCTATTCAATTAGTTTTGCTCATTGCACATATTTGCTGAAAATTATGTATATATACTATGTATATATGCTAATATTGCTAAGTATTGCATATCCACATGCATCTATATTTGTTTTGTATCTTTCAGTCTGTATATATGTATATATATGTGCATGTGTATATATACACATATATACACACAATTATATTTGTAGTTAACTTCAAAGTCAATCCAACATTACAGAGTACACTCTAGCTTTCCTCCTTTATTTGTAACTTCTATCTCTGACATGGAGAAACTATTTTCTCACTACATACAACATACTTATGTACATGATCAACCCTAGCATACATATAAATTCATTACTAAAAAAAAATTTAACTACTAAAATAAGGTGTTTGTGTAAAGATCTTTTTGCTTTTAGCCCTGCAATAGCCAGTTAAACACTGTTTTGCAAAGTTACTTAGGTTAGCACCATTCTTCCCCACATGTTTTACTGTAGTTACACAATTCATTTTTCTTTTTGTTTTATTTTATTTTATTTATTTTTTTAATTCATATATTTTATTGTTTTTCCCTATGCTTAACAAGACCAATGCCTTGAGAGAGCAACATATAATTATGAACACAATAATGAATATATTTACAGCATAAATTGTTTGTATAAAATGAAAATATTTGTCCTTTGTCTACTTGACAAATCTGTCAAATCAAACCTATTCCTGTGGCGTATTGGAAGCATATTCAATTTTAAAAATACTTTTATGCTTTACATAACTAAAAATGGGTGATTTATAGAAATTCTAAGATTATCTTTTAAGACAAATTAACGAGTTAATGGGTGCAGCACACCAACATGGCACATGTATACATATGTAACAAACCTGCACATTGTGCACATGCACCCTAGAACTTAAAGTATAATAAATACATATATATATATAAAAAGAAAAACAAGCTGTTATTTTAGATATTAATAGATAACAGGTAAGAAGTGCTATTTATACAATTCATTTTTCTACAGTTAGATTTGTCAAAGTCTGTGTCCAATCTAAATTATCCTGATATCCTGGTTGATTTTTTTAATTTTACATATAATTTTATCATTTAGAATAAATTTACATACAGCTTTATTTATATACAGTATAAAGTTTACTCTGTGGTGTACAGTTCTGTGGATTTTGGCAAATGCACAAAGTCATATATTTACCATCATAGTTTCACATAGATTACTTCCATCATTGCCAAAATCTCCTGATTCCTCTTAATATTCAGCCTCCCTCTTATAGCTTATCTTACTCTAGAGTATCATACTAATGGAATTATACAACAAGTTGCCTTTTGGATGTGGATTATTTCACTTAAATATGTTTAAGATTCATTAGCATTGTCTTGAAAATCAGTATTTTCTTATCCTTTCTATAGGCGAGTAGTATGCCACGGTATGGAAGCTTCTCTATAAACTGCTTAAAGAGAACTATAATGTTTCCAGTTATTGGAGATTATAAATAAATATGCTGTAAACATTTGCATGCTGATATTGGCTGAACATTAGTTTTTAACGTTTCTTGAAGGGGAATCCCTGGATTACACGATAGATGTATGTTTAACTATATAGGAAACTGCCAAACTGCTTTGCAAAGTGTGTTATTTGCATTCCCATTAGCAAAGTATGAGAGTTGAGGATTGGCTGTGTTCTCATCAAAACTTGGAATTATCAGGTGTCTTACTTGTATGTTGTAATTCTAATAGGTGTGTTGTGGTAGTACCTCATTGAGTTTGGGTATACATTCCCTGATGACTAATGATGCTGACCATCTTTTATATAATTATTTGTCATTAGTATATCCTCTTTGGTGAAGCACCTTTTCAGATCTTTTCCACACTTTATATTAGATTGTTTCTTATTATGATGCTGAGTTTTAAAAGATGTTGAGGTATTCCAGATACAATTGATTTGTTAGAAAGGTTATTTGCATGTACAGTCTCTAAATCTGAGGTTGGTCTTTTGGTTGTCAGTGTCTTTTGCAGAGCAAATATTTTGAATTGATTAATTATAATTTTTCAGTTTTTTTCTAATTCTTCAGTGGTTTCTATGTAGCAGTCATGTCATAATGGTAATAGGAAAAATTTATTTCTTTCCAGTCTGCATGCCTTCTTTTTTTGCTAGCTTTATTATACTGGTGAAGACTTTCTGCATGATGTGAGTAGAAGCATGGTTTTGAACCTGAAAGGGAAATAGCAAAATCATTTCATTTTTCAATTATTATATGAGTTAGCTTTAGGTCTTGCTTTTGTTTGTTTTGTGTGTGTGTGTGCGTGTGTGTGTTTCTGTTTTTGTGAATACCTCTAACCAAGTTAAAGAAATCGCCTTAGATTCTTTGTTTTCCAAGGGTTACTATTTTTGAATTGATGATGAATAACATCAAATGCCTTTTCTGCACCTATTTAGATAAGTTTTCATTCTTTGATCTGCCAATATGGTGGGTGATAGTCATCAATTTTAAAGTGTTTAATAAATCTATTTTTTTCCTTGGGTTACCCCTCCTTTCCTTTTTTTATTCATGAATTTAGTTTTCTAATTATGTTGAGAATTTTTTTATACATGTTCATGAGAGATTTGAGGTTGTATTTTTCTTCTCTTGTAACATCTTGTAATAATTTGGAAAATGCTGTCCTCATAAAATGAGTCGAGAGTGTTTCTTCTTCTAATCTCTGAAAGATATTGTGGAAAATGAGCATTACTTCTTCCTTAACTGTTTAATAGATATTTGCCACTGGAAAAAGAAATCTGGATCTGAAGTTATTTTTGTTGGAAGTTTTCTAACTAGGAATTCAATGTAATTTAATAGATATGACTATCTACCTCTCCTTGGGAGGTTTGTTTGTGTCTTCATGAAATTTTTTAAGAAGTATGCCACGTGTTCTGTTTTGGTTATTTATTTACTTACCTTAAGAACTCCTAAGATTAATCATTGGCTAGCATCATTTCAGAAACTATAGTCCAAAATAATATGGAAAAAAATTTTTAAAGCTTGATTTTACTTAATATATGATCTGCACCATAAACCACATTATTAAAGCATGTACATAATTAGAATAATTTATTTAAAATTAAGAGTTTTCTAGCCTCTGATGAGCCTCTGAGAAAGCATGCTTATATTTGCCTTTCATAGCTTCATATGTAAACTCATTAAATATGAAGCAATAAAGAAAATGCTTTAAAAAGGCAAAACAAAAAACAAATTTAATAGTTTGTATATATTTCCTAGATTATAAGTTTTTGCTATGTTTTATTTAATCTTATTATATCAAACTTCTGTGAAGCCCAAAACAACTACTTGAGTATAATATCCTCTAGATAAATCCCAAGACCCATAAATCTTTTAAACGAAACAGTAAGTAGCCCTAGCAGTTGAGCGCATCAGTTCATTTAGCAAGGTGATCCTAGTGTCATCAAGGGAAGACACTGACTTCTGATACATAAATTTTAGAAATGATGAAAACAAATTTTAATCCTTAAGTAGAAATTTCCAGCTGGTAATTTGTTTTAAATGTTGCTTTCCAAACTGTTAAGCAAGGACTAAACTGATAGACCAGTATTAAAATTACATGCAATGATCTATATTGGAGAAAAATTAGTTCATTTGAGAAACTGAAAGCCATGAATTGCCCTTGGACGAGAGAAGAATTGAACTACAACATCCGAATCCTAATTCAAGTCTCTTAAAATCACTAAACCATTTGCTTTCCTTCTACTTAATAGTTATCTCACCATATATAAAATACCTACAACTAGTAAGTTTTAAATGTTATTATTAAGAAGTCAAGCTCCAAGCCAGCTGCCATGCTGAACAGAAAGCTCTGGCTAGATGCCGAATAATGAAATATAGCACAGGAAGGTAGAGGATACAGAGGAACCCTGAGAATTCAGTC
This sequence comes from Homo sapiens, assembly GCF_000001405.40. Classification (NCBI taxonomy): domain Eukaryota; kingdom Metazoa; phylum Chordata; class Mammalia; order Primates; family Hominidae; genus Homo; species Homo sapiens. The sequence continues at coordinate 56,222,489 of NC_000010.11, read as the reverse complement.
ATGTGATTGAAGCTTTCTTGGAGGTTAAGCTCAGCCCTACCACCAAATAAAGCTAGTCCTGCGTGTGAATGCAGCCATTACTATGGGTAGCAGAGGAGCCACCCAGTTAGCCACCTCCCACACCAATTCTAAGCCTAGAGAATTACGAGAAATAAGAAATTGTTGTTGCTGTAAGCCACTAAAATATAAAATGTCAATAAATTTCTGTGCCAGACTCATGTTATTTTAAATATGTAATAAAGTTATTTCACAATAGTCATATTTTTCGAAATATTTTTATTAAAATTGTACATTGAAACCCATGCTCTAGAAGTTTGTTGCATATTCTGATTGTAACAGTAATATAAACTCATTGTAAAACTTTGACAATATAAATATTTTATTTTATTAATGTGCTAATAGGTCTGTCTTGTTTCAAATGTGAATGTGCAAAGATTGAGTTAGGAGGCATTAAATACAGAAAACAATTTTGCAATATGCAGATTAAAGCAATGTTATATGGAATTGTTTAATATAGGAATTCCCTGACCCTTTTTTGTATAGTAATGTATTTTGGAATCAGTAGGAAATGTATATAAAATGCAGTGGCTACATAAAATGAACTGAAGTGCATGCCCATTTTATTATGGAAACCTGTAACTGGTTAACAATACAGGTATATAGATGTGTAGACACTCCAGATGTAATTATTGGGTATGGACTTTCAACAGCAAGACTCTTTGGGATATCTTCTTTTTTCTTCAAAGTTATAGACCATTTTTTCTGGAAATAACTATAAGGTGTACATAATTCTAGTAAAATAGAATATTAATACATATTTGAGGAAATCTTTATTCTTACTTTTTATTATATGTTTCTATTTGTTAGAATATTGAACTTCCACCATACACGTCTTTGTTCCATGTGAAAGAGCATCTTTCTTAACACAAAGGAATAATATTTATAAACAATAATGGCTGCCGTTTGCAGAGTCCAACTTGATGTTATATTTTCCGTGCCTTTGAAATGAATTTTATTTTTAACTTATTATTGGGTATATTTTCTGAACTGAGTCACACAGAATCTTTCTAATTTTCTGTGATTAAACAGAGTAAACGTCAGGATGAAATCTAATAATGAATAACCTTTGAAAACGCATTCATTTAATGTTACATATCCATATCCCATTTTAGAAGGTTTGAATAAATTAAAGCAATTTAAATTTACTTTCAACCTATGTTTGGAATGGTAGTTCTAATTTATTAAAATGAAGTACTTTAACTCCCAATGTGCTCAAACAAATTTTATTATTTCACACTGCTCTCTGTATTACAATCTTATTCTCTCCAATCTTTTTCAGATCCACTCTTCTGACTTAGATTTCTCTGAGAATAATATGTAATTCCATTAAGCGTCAGCCTAATGAATGATGGGTAAAGAGAAAGTTACACTTGGGTGATTTAAATTCACCAATATAAGCACAGAGATTTCTGGTTTAGAGAGGTTGTTGAATTCCAGTCTTAGAATACAATTATACCAAATAAATAAATGAATAAATAAGTAAATAAGTAAATAGACCTGGATAACTAATATAAGTTCAGACAGAAGATCTGTTTCAAGAAGTAATTTCCCAAAGTTATATGGAATAAGCCCCTTACAACACACCAGAAAAATGCTCAGAGACACCAGATTTTTTGTCTGGGTTTCAACCTATTCATAAGTTACTTCCTCAGTGTCTACTATACTTTCTCTCTTCACACCAAACAGATATTAAAATGTATAGCTTGTCTTAGACGCCAGTTTCTCATAAAGGCTTTACTTGACGCCCAGATAATTGTTTAGGTTCTCCACCTATATGTTTCTTGGCAATCTACTTTCAAATTGTAGGTGCATATATTATACTTTGTTGCAGTAATTGTGTACCATGACATCTTCCTTACTAAATGGTAAGCTTCTTCATGTTAGGGACTCTGACTCTAAAATGATTAGTTTCAGTTTGTTATTTCTGTATCTCCAGTTGTTGTAAAAATGCCTAAACATTGGATGTGGCCAATGGATATATAATTAATGTAAAAATCAAAGAAGTGTTTATGAATTATTTTCATTTTGTAGCTTTCTAACTGAAGGGGTCTTTATTATCTTGGCAATCTCAGCAAGGAGACTGTGCCATTTGTGTTTTTTAAGACTTTCAACTTTATCTGGCTTTGTGATCCTTTCAGATAATTACTGTGGTATATTTGCATTGGCTTTCCAGATTTGTGTCCCAAAATAAGTTTTGTTCATGGTAACAGAAATTAGATAATAGAGACTCCCCGGAAGACTACAGAAGCCTGGGACTATTCTTGGATTTCTTACTTTGTCTAATATTCTAGCATATTCCCTTTATTTATATTTACTATTAAGAGAATCATATGCTCCTAACAAATTACACAATTTTAACAAACATTTTCTCTCAAAACATGCTATTTCCTAACATCCATTTTTATATTTAAGCTTCAGTGGTCATACTGCGATTCACTGCAACAAAGTTAAACAAGTGAAATAGGAATGTACAAAATTGCCAACCCAAGACTAAATACATCTTTACAAACTGTCCAAAGGGATGATCCTGAAATTCCCGTTTTTTTAAATGTGTTGAGTATCCTTCTGCTATTCTTAAATTTAGAGCCACCTACTCAAGTGAGATAAGATCTACTGTTATTGAATATGAAAAAAACTGTCATTTCTGTTTGAAAAAACATATGACATGGGTTACATAGGAAGATATTTTGTGAAGTTAAGGAATATGCAGTACTTATTAAACACATGTAAAGTATTATTTCAGTTTGCTTACTTGGGCTCCAAATTATCAACATTAAATTTTTTTTCCATTAAAATTTTTGAGACTAAAAGACAAAATTACTTAGAAACATAATTTTTTAAAAACTGCAATTTAAGATATTGAAGTTCTACTGAATGCCTGTTAACTGACTCTGACTGTTGCATGTAACGGCAATGTTGTTCACTAACTGTACAGGACATTTTAACTACTTTAAAATTCAAAGTAAAAACCATTGTCAATTTGAAAAACAGTTTCGAATAAACTATAAATATATGACAGGATAGCCAATTTTGATAGTTTTACTGCTAGATAGTAAGATAATAATTTTAATTAATTTTCTGAACAATCTGAAATAACTATCTGTATTTCAGTGTGTTATTTTTAAATTTTATCTTTTGGAAATAATCTAAATGTCTAGTCAAACATGTAAAGTTAAGTAAATCATAGTACATGTACCCAATACAACAACCCTATGTGGTCATCAGGAAGTTACAAAGATATTATATAGACATGCCAATTATATGTTAAATATTTATCATTATGCATAAATGTAAACCTATATAATAATTTCATACATGCCTATGTACATACATACCTAGAGATGTCTTAATTTTATATGTCTTCATTTTGATAATTTTCTCCATTGATGATATATTGCTTCCATAATTGGAAAGTTTCTGGAAATTCCCCAAAAATAATAAGTATGATGCTCAGGACTGATTAACAACAAAGACAGATTCAAACTTACCTTTTGCTATTTTGCATTTTTCTTTTTTTATGCAGAAATAGTATTTTCTGTCTGAATAGAGAGAATGAATATAATAAGAGGAATCTGAATTTTTAAATAATTGTAGAGTTGCTAGGAGACTTGATCACTATAAATGAGTCCCGTCGTCTTTATCTGAATGTATGAACTCATAGATTAGGGGTTAAATCATGGAAAATGTGATCATTACAGAGCTAGGGAGAACAAGAGAGGAATCAAAAAGCTAAAGATGGGCAAATGGTTAGGTTCCCAATAACACCAGTGTGAATAGTATAGAACATTTGTCAGTAATGTTAAAATAAGTCACAGATAGATTTTAGGATACATATTTTAGATAATTTATATTCATTTATATCCAATTATATATTCAGTCATATCTATAGTTATTATAGGAAGGTACAGTTTCTAAAAAATAATGAGTTACTTTCTATATATGCTTTTTTAAAACACTATTTGGCATACAATTTCTATTATAGAAATACACTAATGATAGTGAATCTAAATTTGAGCAAAATATTTGATACGGTTTCTGAGATATTTTTATGAGACAGCGCTAAGCTACATGCCATTCTAATAAGATTTGAGTCATTATTTAAAGTATAACACTCAAGAATAATTTAGAATTAATCTCTACTTGGGTATTTTAACTACTATGCTATATTTAGCCTGTTTCAATTGATAATTATTTTGTGAGGTTATAACAGACTATTTTACTTGGAGAAGAGACAAATCTGGATGGTTTCTTGACTAAGTTTGATAGAATAAAGACTGAGAGAGATATTGGTAGATCTAAAACTGCTAATTAATATTTACAACATAAAAGTGTTAACTGCAAGATTTCACATTCAAGCTGAAAACATAATACATTCAGAACAGAGAAAGCTAGTTAAATGGTAGTTAATATATAATAAGGTTAAAAATTCAATTTATTCGACATGATTCAAAAGTACGATAAGGCTTCAAATAATGGTTGTTTTAATAAATATTGCACAAGAGAGGTGAGGTGATCACCCTATGATATACCACATAGAAAGGCTCTCTAGGATATTTTCTATTTTTTTTCTAGATAGTAGTTATTTGAAGACACAATCTATGCTTATATTAGCATAACAACAACAATTAAAAGAGAAACCAATTAATTAAAATTGTTTGCCTGTAGAAGAATAGTGATGAGTTAGGGGATATAATTTTTACAATCTAGTATTTGATAAGCTTTCAGGTGAGAGAGAGGTACAATAGTAAATGGCATTGTATGTATGTAAAGAATCTAAGCCAGAACAATACAAATTTCATATCAATAAAAGCATAAATTTTTGATTGTAGAATCAGATACCAGGTGTTATAGTATTAACGGCACAATTTTTTAACCAGACAGATATGAATTCAAAATCTGGTAGTGTCACTTAACAAATGTGTAACCTTGGGAAACTGAGGCAATCCCTCTGAGTGTCACATTCATCCTCTGTAAATGGCAGATAACAGCACTTCCATTGACTATTAAGGGATCAAATAGCCATGCCTATTTGTTTATGTATTGCCTAGGCTGCTTGCATGCTACTGTGACAGGGTTGAGTAATTGCAAAGGGGCAATATGGCCTGCTAAGCCTAAGATATTTACTCTCTGGCCCTTTAAAAACAGTTTGATGACTTCTCAGAAGTGTTAATTGTTGTGTTCATATTCGTTTCCCTGATTATTTGAATTGGACATCCCTTTGATACAGGACAGGCAAGCCCCTAAATCCGGGTTTAGCCCAGGAGGATTCTTGGCTTCCTCCAGGAAAGAATTCAATGGTGGGTCAGCGGTGTTAAACAGCAACTTTTATTGAAGCTGCAGTGTACAGCAGCAGCAGTGGTACTGCTCCTTGCAGAACAGGGCTAACCATAGGCAGTGTGCCCAGAATAGCAGCCCAGAGGCACTCCAGCACTCATTCCTATTTATACCCACTTTTAATTATATGCAAATTAAGAGGCAGTTTATGCAGAAATTTCTAGAATCAGAGTAGTAACTTCCAGGTTGTCTCCTCGTTGCCATGGAAAGAAGTGGTAATTTCTGGGTGTTGCCACAGCACACTGGTGGGCCTGTCTTATGGGCAGGTGCTTCTGCCCCAACCTGTTTTAGCTAATCCTCAATTTGGTCGGATGTCCAAGCCCCACTTCCAGAGTCAAGTTCTGCCTCCTATCTCACCTTTATATACTTGTTGGCCTTTTGATTTTCCTCTTTAGTAACTTACCTATCTGTACCGTTTTGGATTTCTTTTTTCTTGTTGATATGCAAGAGTAAGTTATATTCAGAGAGTAGCTCATCAATATTAGAATTGCAGATATCTTCTTCATCCTACTGGCTGCCTATGAATTGTGTATGTGGTGACCTTCATAAAAGTGAAACCCTTAAATTTTGGTATCAAATTAATCAAAGTGCCACCTTACGGTTGATGACTTTGAGGTTAAAAAGCCCTTCACCACACAGTATTGATCTTTCTGAAGGGTTTTTGTTGTTGTTGTTTGCTTTTTTGCATTGATCAACATAATATTATATTTTCTTTGCTCTATTAATGCAATGAATCATGTAAATAAATTTCCTGAATTTCAAAAAAAACAAACAAACAAATAGCAGTGTGTATAAAATACTTAGCACAGTGCCTGTCACAAAGAAAAAACTCAATAAATGTACCTGAGCATTCAGAGCTCTTGATAGTAAACAACAGATTCTATTAGTTAAGATTACATTTGGCTGCAAGTGACTACAAAATCCAGATTCAAAAATTTCAGTTGCTTACAGTTGTAAATTGCTAAACAAAGCACACTACATTGGCTTTCATCAACCTTTCATCAATTTTCCACTCACCTTTTACCTTGCAAATAACTACTAGATTAGAACATACAAAGGTTTTTCAGTTTATTGCTGGAGAAATGTATCTCAAAACAACTGATACTGGAAATATTCCTAGGAAGTAGTAGCCATGCATAGACTTAGAAGAACTGGATTACTTTCTGAGCATATATTAATGAGGATGTCCTCGATGAAGCAATGATAAATGGTGGTGTGCTATAATATCACAATTACTAAAACTCTGACCTGTGGTCATCAAGGTGGAATATAATTTTAGGAATTCACTGGCTTATGCAATAGCTCTAGAAAGAGTAATCATAAGAGCTGTGGAGTTGTCTGCCTGTTGCAAACTATTTTGAAACCCTGAAGGAAAAAAAGATGAGCTATCCAGGTAAGCAAATTATCAATTTAGGGTATAACATGAGAAAGCTATAATAGACTTATGGCAGTGTTTAAGAGGAACCTCAATTTCCATAACTGAAGGACAGGCTATACTTAAAGTCAGGCCAAATATTTCATAGTAAAAGTGCAGAATTTGAAGAGAGACTGGATTATGATGAACTCTTATAGGTCTCCAACTCAAAAGTCAGGGCAATAATAAAGAAGAATTAGGACCTTTGAGGCCTAGGATGAGGCATTTGGCTGGATGTGTTTGAGAATTGTGAACAGCTGATTTTTTTTCTTTTCTTTTTTCTTTCTTTCTTTATTTATTGAGACAAAGTCTGACTCTGTCGCCCAGGCTGGAGTGCCCTGGCACCATCTATGCTCACTGCATCCTCCGCCTCCCATGTTCAAGCAATTCACCTGCCTCAGCCTCCTGAGTAGCTGGGACTACAGGTGCATTCCACCATGCCAGGCTAATTTTTTGTATTTTTACAGATGGTGTTTCACTATGTTAGCCAGGCTGGTCTCAAACTCTGGACCTCAGGTGACCTGTCCTATTGGCCTCCCAAAGTGCTGGAATTATAGGTGTGAGCCACTGCACCCAGCCCCTCGTTTTTTTTAGTCAATTTCAATTTTTATGGGTACATAGTAGGTGCATATATTTATGGGGTGCATGAAATACTTATTTTAATACAGGAAGATAAATGCATAATAATTTAAACACCAGAATACATTTGAACTCTATGAGATTAAAAATCCCTACTTTCCCTTGCTAAAATATAGCTGCTTCCTATGGCGTGGAGACTATACAAAAGCTTCATTTAACATGAAAATCTTAAAAAAAATTCTTATTCCCCTGAAAAGATGCCCCTGTCTCCCTTCATTGGTTCTAGATTATAATTGATAGGTAATGGCAGAGCCTGATGAAAGTAACACTGTCCCCACATGGGAGGAAAGAGATTATCCATCAAAGAAATGAAGGCTATGACAAATTTGTACCAACTGGAACTAGAATAATTTGCTTAGGAATGGATTTTGAGACTATTGAAACAAAGTCCCTTAGGCTTATCTAAATGATAGCAAGTACGAAAACTACCCAACTAAGAATCCTGCCTTGGATTTCACATGAAGAACAGATAAATTTTTGTTTTGTAAATCACTGAGATTGTACCTCTTACTTGAAATTATCTCAGAACCAATTTACAGACATTACCATTTAAACAATACTGTCACGGGTTAAAGACTGGAAATGCAGGACCTGTATTTAACATGCAAGCATGTGGCGTTTAGAAGACACTGGATAATTTTAAAAAGAGTGAATGAGAATGTCTGTAATTAGGGCATGCACAAGTGAGATCATTGTCAGTACTATCCCTCACAATCTCGTATCTGTGTATTTTCACGGTTTTAGTTATTTACATACTTTTCTAAGATGTCTGAGGTCATTATCCTCTTTTTAATCATTGGTATTATTTTATTTCAGTTTTATGCATATGTATTAAATATTTCCAATATGAATACCTCTGAATAATTCCTCATTTTATATTGCTTAGTATAAACAGGTACTTAATAAATGTTCCCTGAATAATAAACATATTTTGAATTTTATGTAAACTTTGCTGTAAATAGAAGACATCTTGATTATCCAAATACTGCAGAAGACGCAATTATCCTGCATAGAAACTGAACACAATTATAATTTTCTCCTATTCTGGATAGTCCTTTATCTGTTTCTTTTTATTCTATTTTATTTTTTTCAGAGTAGTCAAATCTAATCCATTTGATGTTTTAAATTTATCCCATGGTGACAAAATAGATGCAGCCAGGAAAAGCATCTCCCACTGAGAGATCAGATAATCAAGAAGACAGGCACACCCTGAGCAGAACTTTGGAGAGAGGGCATTGAGAGGGGAGGAAGAGTGAGTTAACTAGACAAGGAATGGTCTGTTCTCTCCATGTACCTCAGGATTCCTAGTTGCATGAGACCCCACTACCCCCATGGACATTTGAGCTGACAAGGAGAGCTGCATGGAGAGGTGACAGGAACAGGACTCCCGACAGTTTTGAACCAGTAATGGCTGCAGTAGAGCACAACCAGCAACATCCATGCCTCAAGACTTACCATGGTCTTCTAGGTGGCTTTACCTTTTGTTGATGGTAAAACCAGGACAAAGCAGAGTGGTCTTGCCCATGGAATGGGAAAAGTCCAATCTGAGCACCCTCCTGCCTGCTGGTCTCTCCTAGGGTTCCTGCTTCTCTGTATCCACTTGCAACACAGCCTTGGATGCTCAATCATGGCACATCTTGGGGACCACCACCATAGCTCGTTCACTGGCAGAACTCTCTAACCATTGGAGAGCTTTAGCAGACAGGTCTTTACCAATGTAAACTCACCAACAGCCTCACTCCACCATGTTGTTGCCATAGGCATGTGCGTATGCAGACCTTGCTGTCACTACGCTCCCCCAACATTGGCACATGTGTACACAGCCATGCCCCTGCTGCTGCTGCCTCACACATGATTGTGGACACTGTCACATTGCCACCACTGTTGCTAGCATATGCACGCAGACTTGGCACACCACCCCCACCAGCCTGAAAGAACCCTGCTGTGCCGCAACCACCAGCACATGTGTGTACGTGGAAAATGGTGCATCACCAGCAGGGGTGTGAGTGCACCTGCATGGATGCCATTGCTCCACCACTGCTAGAGCATGCATACCCCACCACAACATCACCCCATCAGCGCTAGTATGTGTGGATTCTGCCGTACCACCACTAGTAACATAAGCTCACAAGCACGGATCCACCGCCACTACTCCAACAAAGTGCTTTTACTGGCATGCTCCCTTGGAGTGTTGTTGCCAGTGGACTGGGAACAACATGGCTCCTCCAGTATAGTAGGTGCTTAGCCTTGAGGGGCCAGAGAACGAAGCTCTGGGCCTGGTATCAGCCAGGCAGGGTTAGAAGTCACAGCACAGGAGTGCTGAGAGGAGTGTTGGCCCACTGAAATCATCCAGAAATGAATTCAGTGGACTGAACCCATCTTATACTACAGTCTAATCCTCAAACGCATTAAACAATATAAAATCAAAAACCCTACCCAAAAGAGAGCAACTTCAGAGATAAAGGAATAATTCAGGCCACACAGATGAGAAAAAAACAGCACAAGAGCTCTGGCAACTGCAAAAGCAACAGTGTCTTCTTACCTCTAAACAACCACACTAACACCCCAAAAAGGCTCTTAACCAGGCTGAAATGAAAGACATAGCATTCAGAATATGGATAAAAACAAAGTCCATCGAGATTCTGAAGAAATCAAAACTTAATCCAAGGACTCTAAGGAATCCAATAAAATACCCTAACAGCTAAAAGAATAGCCAGTTTACGAAATAACCAAACTGATCTGATAGAGCTGAAAAACTCACTAGAATTTTCTAATGCCACTGGAAATATGAAGAGCAGAACAGAGCAAGCAGAGGAAAGAAATCTCAGAGCTTAAAGACCAGTTATTCAAATCAACTCAGTCAGACAAAAATAAAGAAAAAATAATATAAAATAAAGAATAAAACCTCTGAGAAATAAGGGATGATATAAAGATACCAAACCTATGACTCACTATTGTCTCTGAAGGAGGCAGAGACACAGAAAGCAACTTGAAAAACATATTTGAAGATAAAGTTCATGAAAATTTTCCCAACATTGTCAGTGGGGTCAACATTCAAATTCAGAAAATTCACAGAAACACTGTGAAATACTATACAAGACAACCATCACTGAGACAAATACTTGTCAGATACTGCAAGCCAACATGGATGAAAAGAAAAAACAAAACAAAACAAAATATTAAACACAGCTAGAGAGAAAGGGAAGGTCACCAACAAAGGAAACCCATCAGGCCTGTCTCCCCTCATTGGTTCTAGATTATAATTGATAGGTAATGGCAGAGTCTGATGAAAGTAACACTGTCCCCACATGGGAGGAAAGAGATTATCCATCAAAGAAATGAAGGCTCAAAATAAAGGGATGGAGGAAGAACTTTTTTTTTTTAAATTATACCTTAAGTTCTAGGGTACATGTGCACAATATGCAGGTTTGTTACATATGTATACATGTGCCATGTTGGTGTGCTGCACCCATTAACTCGTCATTTACATTAGGTATTTCTCCGAATGCTATCCCTCCCCGCTCCCCCACCCCATGACAGACCCCAGTGAGTGATGTTCTCCTTCCTGTGTCCAAGTGTTCTCATTGTTCAATTCCCACCTATGAGTGAGAACATGTGGTGTTTGGTTTTCTGTCCTTGCAATAGTTTGCTGAGAATGATGGTTTCCAGCTTCATCCATGTCCCTACAAAGGATATGAACTCATCCTTTTTTATGGCTGCATAGTATTTCATGGTGTATATGTGCCACATATTCTTTATTGAGTCTATCATTGATGGACATTTCGGTTGGTTCCAAGTCTTTGCTGTTGTGAATAATGCTGCAGTAAACATACGTGTGCATGTGTCTTTATAGCAGCATGATTTATAATCCTTTGGGTATATACCTAGTAATGGGATCGCTGGGTCAAATGGTATTTCTAGTTCTAGATCCTTGAGGAATCACCACACTGACTTCCACAATGGTTGAACTAGTTTACAGTCCCACCAACAGTGTAAAAGTGTTCCTATTTCTCCACACCCTCTCCAGCACCTGTTGTTTCCTCTTTTTAATTATTGCCATTCTAACTGGTGTGAGATGGTATCTCATTGTGGTTTTGGTTTGCATTTCTCTGATGGCCAGTGATGATGAGCATTTTTTCATGTGTCTGTTGGCTGCATAAATGTCTTCTTTTGAGAAGTGTCTGTTCATATGCTATTCTAATTTCAGGCAAAACAGACTGTAAACAAACAAAAATCAGAAAAGACAAAGAAGGGCATTGTATTAGTCTCTTCTCACACTGCTAATAAAGAAATACCTGAGACTGGGTAATTTACAAAGGAAAGAGGTTTAACTGACTTACAGTTCCACATGCCTGGGGATGCCTCACAATCATGGCGAAAGGCGAAAGACATGTCTTACATGGCAGCAGGCAAAGAGAGAAGGAGAGCCAAGTGAAAGGGGTTTCCCCTTATAAAACCATCAGATCTCATGAGACTTACTCACTATCACGAGAACAGTATGGGGAAAACTGCCCCCATGATTCAATTATCTCCCACAGGGTCCCTCCCACAACATGTGGGAATTATGGGAGCTACAATTCAAGATGAGATTTGGGTGGGCACACAGCCAAACCATATCAGTCATTATGTAATGATAAAGGGTTCAATTCAACAAGAAGACTTAATTAGTATAAATATATATGCAACTAACACTGGAACACCCAGATTCATAAAGCAAATTCTCAGAGACCTTAAAAGAGACTCAGATAACCACAAAATAATAGTGGAAAACTTCAAGACCCCCTCACTGATAGCACAAAACAAATAACTGAGGCAGAAAAATAACAAATATATTTTGGACCTACTCTCAAAACTTAACCAAGTGGCTCTAACAGACATGTAGAGAACAACCCACCTAACAAAAACAGAATACATATTCTTCTCTTCTTCTCATCTGCATATGGCTCATACTCAAAAATCAACCATACGCTCATCCATAAAACAATTATCAACAAATTAAAAAAAAATCTTACCAACCACATATTCAAACCACAGCTCAATAGAAATGGAACTTAATACCAGGAATATCTCTCAAAAATGCATAAATTACATGCGAATTAAACAACCTGCTCCTTAATGACTTTTGGGTAAGCAATGATGTTATGACAGAAATCTAGAGATTCTTTGAAACTAATGGAAACAAAGACACAACATAAGGATCTCAAAGACACAGCTAAAGCAATAAGACAAAAGTTCATAGTAGTAAAGCTCACATCAGAAAGTTAGAACGATCTCAAATGAACAACCTAACATCACAACTAAAGGAACTGGAGAAACAAGAGAAAATCAACCCCAAAGTTAGCAAAAGAAAAGAAATAGCAAAAATCAGAGCTGCACTGAATGAAATTGAGCCTCAAAAAAATCATACAAAAGATCAATCAAACCAGAAGTTAGTTCTTTGAAAGATTAAATAAAATTGTTATAGCATTAGCTGGACTAATAAAGAAAAAAAGAAGAAGAGCCAAATAAACACAATAAAAAATGACAAAGAGGACATTTTCACCAACCCCAAAGAAATACAGACAACTATCAGAGACCATTATAAACACTTCCATGCACACAAACTAGAAAATCTGGAAGAAATTTATAAATTCCTGGAAACACACAAACTCCCAAGATTGAGCCAAGAATAAATAAAAACCTTGAATGGACCAATAACATGTTCCAAAACTGAGTCAATAATAAAAACCCTACCAAACAGAAAGAGCACTGGATCAGATGGATTCACAGCCAAATTCTGCCAGACCTATAAAGAGAACTAGTACCAATCCTACCAGATTTCTTCCCCAAAAATGAGGAGGCGGGACTCCTCCCTAACTTGCTGTGATGCCAGCACTGTTCTTATACCAAAACCTGGCAGAAACACAATCAAGAAAGAAAACTTCAGGCCAATATCCCTGATGAACATCAACTCAAATATCCTCAATAAAATACTACCAAACCAAATCCAGCAGTACATCAAATCTGTGACAATCAAGCAGGGTTTATTACTGGGATGTGAGGTTGGTTTGAAATTTGTAAATCAGTAAATGTGATTCATCCAATAAACAGAACTAAAAACAAAATCCACATGATCATCTCAATAGACAGAGGAAACTTTCAATAAATTCAACATCCTTTCTTGTCAAAAATCTTCAACAAAGTTAGAATTGAAACCTAAGATAATAAGAACCGTCTATGACATACCCATAATCAACATCATGATGAAAGAGCAAACGCTGGGAACATTCCCCCTGAGAAGCAGAACACGACAAGGATGCCCATCTTTATGATTCCTATTCAGCTGGAAGTTCTAGCTAGAGCAATCAGGCAAGAGAAAGAAACAAAGGCATCTACATAGGAAGAGAGGAAGTCAAATTCTCTATCTTCACAGATGATATTATTTTATACATGTAAAAATCCCCCAGTTTCTGCCCAAAAACTCCCTCATATGATAAACATCTTTATCAAGGTTTCAGTATACAAAACCAGTGAACAATAATTAGTAGCATTTCTATACAACAACAACAAAAAAACTAAGCTGAGAGCCATATTCTAGAATTTAAGCCTATGTACAATAGCCAACAAAAAATAAAATATCTATGAATATAGCAAGCCAGAAAGGTAAAAATATCTACAACAAGAATTAAAAAATGCTGCTGACAGAAATCAAAGACAACACAAACAAATGAAAACATATTCCATGCACACGGATAGCAAGAATCAATATTGTTAACATGATTATTCTACCCAAATACATTTACAGATTCAATGCTATTTCTACCAAACTACCTATGATGTTCTTCACAGAATTAGGAAAAACTATTCTGAAAGTCATATGGAACCAAAAAAGGACTTGAATAGACAAAGAAATTCCAGGCAAAAAGAATAAAGCCATAGACATCACACTACCCAACTTCAAACTATATTACAAGTCTACAGTAACCAACTCAGCAGGTACTGGTACAAAAACAGACACACAAAATAGAGGATCATAATACAGAACCAGAAATAAGGCCCTACACTTAAAGACATCTGAACTTTGACAAAGTTGACAAAACAGGCAATGGAGAAAGAGTTTTATTCAATAAGTGATGCTGGGATAACTGGCTAGCCATATGTAGAGGATTGAAGCTGAACCCTTCCCTTACAACATAAACAAAAATCAACTCAAGATAGACTAAGGATTTAAATGTATGACCTCCAATCATCAAAACCCTATAAGAAATCATAAGAAATAACCATCTCAACACTGGCCTTTGCAAATAATTTTTGGCTAAGTCCCCAAAAGCAATTCCAACAAAAACAAAAATTAATGAAAGGGTCCTAATTAAACTAAAAATCTGCACAACAAAAAAAAACTATCAACGGAGTAAACAGACAAACTACAGTATGGGAGAAAATATTCGCAAACTCTGCATCTGACAAAGGTCTAATATAGAGAATCTATAAGGTAGTTAAACTAATCAACAGGCAAAAAACAAATAACCGTATTACAAAATGGGCAAAGGATAGAAACAGATATTTCTTAGAAGAAGACAGATAAGTGGCTAACAAACATATTAAAAGATGTTCCACATCACTAATCATCGAGAAATGCAAAGCAAAACCACAAGGATATACCATCTCACACCAGTCAGAATGGCTATCATCAAAAAGTCAAAAAGCAACTATGCTGTTGAGACTTCAGAGAAAGGGGAATGCTTATGCTCTGTTGGTGGAGTTGTAAATTAATCTACCTACTGCAGAAAGCAGTTTGAAGATTTCTCAAAGAACTTAAAGCAGAGGTACCATTAGATCCATCAATCTCATTACTGGGTTTATACCCAAAGGAAAATAAATTATTATACCAAAAAGACACGTGCACGTGCACTCTTATGTTCATTGCTGCACTATTTATAATATCAAAACATATATTCAAACTAAGTGCCAATCAGTGGTAGATTGAGAAAGAAAATGTGGTTCATGTACAGCATGGAATACTATTCAGCCATAAAAATAATGAAAGCATGCCTTTTTAGCAACAGGATGCAGCTGGAGGCCATTATTCTAAGTGAATTAATGCAAGAACAGAAAACCAAATACAGCACGTTCTCATTTATAATTGGGAGATAATAACTGAGCACACATGTACATAAACATGGGAACAACAGATGCTGCAGACTATTTAAAGGGAAAGTGGAGTAGAGTGTGTGTTGAAAACGAAACAAAACAAAAATCCTCTGGGGGTGGGAGTTGGGGAATTTAGTGGTTTTATTAGAACTTCATGAAGGCAGAATGGCATAGTGACCAATATAGACCTGGATATGAATGCTTCTATTGATCAAACTAGTTAAATACACTAAGACTCAATTTTATTGTCTTTAATAGAAGGAGTTTATTTTTCTTGTAATAATGTTGCATCAGGAATTCAATAGAGATGATATATGAAAATATCTTATTAGCCTGGCATTTACGAAGCAATCAAAATAGAATCTATTATCAACTGTAACATAGCCTATATAATCTTATGTTAGAGATAATAAAAATGGTGGCCCAGAGACTTGAATTGTCTTGATTAAGGTTACCTAATAATTTAGCTGAAGAATTGGGCTAGAAACCAGAAATACTTAATTCTAGAACAGTATAAAAATTACATAAGTGAAAGAAAACATTTGCTGTACAGTAGTTTAAAGAAAAATTCCACAAATAAATCAAAAAAGTATAACAAATCCTAGCTATTCAAAAATATGATCAATATTGTTAGAAATACATTATTCAAAAATAAATTTGAGAAGGTGAAAATCTGGTTTGCAAATCTCTTTTATTGACATTTCAGCCTGGCAATTTTCAGTCCCCTTTTTGCAATACATACATTTTTAAAAGTTTGGTAATATTTAACACATTCTCATTTCAATTTATTAAGTAGACCCTAGCTAGAAGACAGACTGACTTAATAAGGCAATATTATCTATAAGGCCTGGCCCAAAGCCAGGTTTTTTCACATTTTCTACATCTTACTATATGTTCTGAAAGATTGGCTCAACTTTTATTTCATATATAATTTTTTGATACGCATACACATACATGTGTATACATACACATATACAAATATAAATCTGAAAACTGTATTAGTTTTAAGAAAATTTTTAATTTTCTTTTTTTAATTTGGAAAGGAGAGCTTTATTTCTCACAAAGAGTTACAGCCCTAAGTGTGGCCCTTCTGACAGGCTGGAAAGTAAAGCCTCCAACCAGCCAGAAGCCAGAAACAGATACTTCCTAATTTTCTGGTGATAATTTCTTCATATCTTAATAAATTTTTTAAAAATGGAAGTGTTATTTTCTCAAATCTCTCAGAAGATAGATATTTACTTTCTAAAGTTACCTCTGGTCACAAAATTATATCTGTTCCCCTCTCCACCTACATGCATTTGCTGTTTTTCTTCTTTATCTTTCATGCTGTTAATTTCCCACGCATCTGTAGGTTTTATTGTTTTATAATTAATATCCATGTTTATTCGTATGCAAATTGGCAAGTGATACCACTGATGCTGGGTGAATAGGTACCTTGCCTCCATAAACTTTCACATGGTAGAGCGGAGTGACTTGGGGTGCCACATCTTTGGCTTGTGCCTATGGAAGGCTTTACTTCAGAGTCTATAAATTGAATCAGCCTCAAGAGCTATTATGAGAACAGCTTAACTGATGCCATTTGCCATTCTATAATTTCTCACTTTCCCCAGTTATTTCTGTCCACTAACCTTCAAATTTTCCATGAATAGAACTTTTCATTACTCTATTTTCTAATCCATATTTCATTTGCACTCTGTGTCTGCAATTCATTAACAGTGAACTCAGTAGCTCCCTGGAGTGTCTTTGCCTCCAAAGTGGGTGCCTCACGTCTTTCCAAAAGTGAGGCATTTTCTATTGGTTTCATTGTCAACATATTCCTATTTAGGTTTATCTGAAAAATTATTTAGCTTAGAGATTTTATTGGACCCTTAATTATCTGCTCATATGCCAATTAATTTTCAATTTGTTATTATTGTTTTCTTTTTTTTTCCTTTGGCTTTTCTTGTTAGACCCATAGTGGACTTCCTGTGTCTATAATAATGACTCTTAAAATTATCTATAATTTTTTGTCTTTTTATTTTTCTCAATAGTTTGGGCATTTCAAGTGTCACTAACTGCTGCCTCAGCTTCTGTAGGCAATGAACTTTGTTGGAACAAATATCTTTACATAATATTTAAAAGATTAACTGTAAAGTATAGCAGACCTATCAAAAACTAGCTATATATGTTTTCCAATGTTTCCAATAATGC
This sequence comes from Homo sapiens, assembly GCF_000001405.40. NCBI lineage: Eukaryota > Metazoa > Chordata > Mammalia > Primates > Hominidae > Homo > Homo sapiens. The sequence continues at coordinate 56,204,722 of NC_000010.11, read as the reverse complement.
TCAATAGTCCTTTTTATTTTCCAATGAGGATCAAATTTCAGGAAACCAATAAAACAAATTATTTTACTCTTGATGCCCAGAGTTCAAATTTTGAATCCTCTGTGACCTTCTGAGTCATATGGATCTTAATGTGATTATTTTCAAGAACAAATGCTAAAAGATAATTCTAAAATTTAATCAACAGTATTGAAGTAGTTTATATAAAATAGCATTTGTCTACTATAATTGCACAGTTTAAAGAGTTTAAGATATATACTTATACAGTTATATGAACACATTATATATAAATTATATTTAAATTAAATATGTTTAAATATAAACATCTATTCTGGCCACATGAAGTAATTTGGATGTTTTCCATCATTGTTCTCTGAAAGAGTTTGTTTAGGAATGATTTGCTGACTTAAATGTTTGGTACGATTCATCATTTTAGCAATCTGATTCTGATGTTTATTTTTAATTTATTTTTTACTTTCTGTTTTTCTTTTGGTGGGACAATATTTTAATTAGGAACTCAAACTATTGTATAGGTATAGCATTTTAATTTGACAATCTTGATATTTGAGTTTTCCACACAATTTATGTTTTATAACATTCTTCTATTATTTACTTTATCAGTAGAGTCTCTGTTGAGATGTATCTTTTTCCTTTCTGATAATTCTAATGAGTTTCTTAATCTTTTTTATCCCTGATAGTTCTAATGAGGGTTTAATCAATTGTTTTGCTCTTTTCAAAAATAATTATTTAATTTTTCTATTACTTGTTAATTTAAAAATGTATTATCTATTCTCACGTGTACATTAAATATTGTTCTACTTTATTTAGGTTTGTTTTTATTGCTTCTTTAATATTTACATAAGCCCTTTTAATCTTTTAAAATACAGGCATTTAAAGCTAAAGATTTCACTCTAAGCCTTATCTCAGCTGTATCTTACAAATTTGATAGATTGAGTTTTCATTTTCATTCAATTTGAAATATTTTCTAATTTCCCATGGAATTTATTCTTTAACGTATCACTTA